>NC_000006.12:101282911-101434426 GCF_000001405.40 Homo sapiens
GGAAGTGGTGAGTGAATGTGTGACCGCCCCCACACACTTCTCCCATAGATCTTTGCAACTCTCTGGTCAGGAGATTCCCTCATGAACCCACTCCTCCAGGGCCTTTAGTCTGACACACAGAGCTACATGGAGTCTCGGCAGAGCAGCGGCTCAGGCAGGCACAGAGGCCCAGGAGATACTTGGGCTTTCCAGGCTTCTCAGCAAAAGCAGCTGCAACTCTGGCTAAATGGGAGGTTAGACACCCCATACACACCCCTAGAAAGGAGGCTGAATCCAGGGAGGCAAGCAGCCACAGTCTGCAGGCCCCACTTCTGTGGCACCTCACAGGATAAGTCCCACTGGCCTGGGATTCCAGCCAGTCACCAGTAGCAGGGCTACACCTCCCTGAGACAAAGCTCCCATGGGGAGAAGTGGGCTGCCATCTTTGCTGTTTGGGTGACTTAGCCATTCCAGCCTTTAGGCCTTGTGAAGTCCACGCTGGCCGAGGGCAAAAGCAGTACCCAGCACATGGCAGCTGCGCTATGAAAACATGGCCAGACTACTTCTTTAAATCGGTCCCTGATCCCATTCCTTTTCACTAGGTGGGACCTCCCAACTGGGGTTTCTTGCCACCCCTGCCAGTGTTCTTTGGCTGACAGAGATTTGAAAACTCCCCAAGACAGAGCTCCCAGAGGGAGGGGCAGGTCACCATCTTTGCTGCGTGGGTGACTTAGCAGTTCCAGGCTTTGGGCTTTGGAGAGTCCAAGCTGATTGGAGGCAGAGGTGGTCCCCTAAAACAGCCATAGCTGTCCTGAGAAAATGTGGCCAGACTGCTTTTTAAAGTGGGTCCCTGATCCTATTCTTCCTCACTGAGCAGGACCTCCCAACCGGGGTCTCCAGCCACCCCCACCAGTGTTCTCTAGCTGACAAAGTTTTCAAACCTCCCTGAGACTGAGCTCCCAGAGGGAGGGAAGAGCCACTATCTTTGCTGTTTGGGTGACTTAGCGGTTCCAGCCTTTGGGCTTTGGAAAGTCCAAGCCAACCAGGGGCATAAGTGGCACCCCAGCACAGCCCTACAAAGACATGGCCAGACTACTTTTTAAAGTAGTTTCCAGATCCCGTTACTCATCACCAGGCAGAGCCTCCTAACTGGGGTCTCCAGCACTGAGGCCTTCAGTTGCCCCTAGAAGTTCTGTCCAGGTAGTTGCCAAGTTGCTACTGGCTCAATAGCTCTGTCAGGTCCTCTCTGCCACTGCTTCTGCTGTGGAACCGTCCTTGGTACCCTCGGGCTAACAAAGGAGCAAAGACCCTTAGTACCTTATCCACATCTCCAACAAGCTGAAGTTGACTCAAGAAGAGGAGGCCAGTGGATCGTCCATAATTCCCACACTCCGCCACTGCTCATCACCAGACAGGGAACACCTGGCTTGGGCCCACAGCACAGACCCTCGATCTTGGGCTGATTGCACTGAGTAATTGCTGGCCTCCATCTCTCTGGGATGGCACCCCCAGGAGACAAGAAAAGTGGTGAACCAGCAAGCCAGCTGATGTGGAGCCCAGTGGGTTTGGTGCAGGAGCATCTGTAGCAGAGCACGACCAGGGACAGCCATCCCTCTAGGCTTTAGGTCTTATGGGAGCAGGTGGAGCCTAGAGGGATGGCTACATCTGCTACAGATGTTGCAGCAGAGCAGCCGGCCTTCCTGGTCATGCTCTGCTTTAGGGGAATTGTTGGACCTGATCTCTGCAGGGTGGTCCTGCACATCAGACAGGGCTGGTTTGACCTGAGCACTCCTTAGTCTGCTGGCCTCTACTAGGGCCCCAGCCTGGCCGTGCCCACTTACAAAGCAGTGTCAGCTGCTCTGGGTATCCAGACTATAGCTTGGTCCCATAAGTCTTCCTCATTAGAAAGCACCCTTCCCTGAACCTCTGCAACTTCACCTTACATGGGAATAAATGAAGTGAGCTCTTCAGAGAAAATGGAAGCATGCTTCCCCAATAAGAATGGTTGCATTCGGCCAGGCACAGTGGCTCACGCCTGTAATCCCAGCACCTTGGGAGGCCGAGGTGGGCAGATCACCTGAGGTTGGGAGTTCGAGACCAGCCTGACCAACATGGAGAAACCTCATATCTACTAAAAATACAAAATTAGCCGGGCGTGGTGGCACATGCCTGTAATCCCAGCTACTCGGGAGGCTGAGGCAGGAGAATTGCTTGAAACCAGGAGGCAGAGGTTGCAGTGAGCCAAGATTGCACCATTGCACTCCAGCCTGGGTGACAGTGTGAGACTGTCTCAAAAAAAAAATACAAAATTAGCTGGGCATGGTGGCTCATGCCTGTAATCCCAGCTACTCGGGAGGCTGAGTCAGGAGAATTGCTTGAACCCGGGAGGCGGAGGTTGCAGTGAGCCAAGGTCGCGCCATTGAACTCTAACCTGGGCAACAAGAGCGAAACTCCATCTCAAAAAAAAAACAAAAAAAACAAAAACAAAAAAGAAAGAATGGTTGCATCCATGTTCAATATATAATTCCACATACTAAAAGCTACACTTCCACATAGTCTGGCCTCATTGTCTCCTCAGAACTATGGTTTGTCTGTGTCTTCAAGAGGAGTTCAAGGGGGTATAAATGAGGATAGAAGAAAAACTTGAGCTTACACTTCTACAATGCTTTTCAAATCTTTAGATGCATAACCCTTTATTTTAATAAAACCTTACCTGAGATCCAAATTATGTAAATCTAATAAATACAGGAATTCTGTGATTAAGTTAAGGAACAGGGAGCAGCCTAGACACTGGAGCACTGTTGAAAACAACTAACCTAAAGGTGAGAAGAGGTGACCAATAACATTTGGTCCAGGCCCGTACTCCCAAAATGTAGGCAGAAAATGGGCTTTTAAAAGGGAAGGAAGACTGGGACTATGGTTTCGCAGGTCCATGACTCTATCTTTTGTCTTGTTCACTTTGGTAGATTTGGCATGTACCAAACATAGGGAAAGGCCAAGTTTTATTAAGCTGATAGGTAAAACCTTTCCCTTCTGCATAGAATTACTCAGTTCAAGAGCTTCTCTGGTATCCAGACAGCACTTATGTCCTGCTTCAGTTATTGGTAAAGGAAAAAGATGTGTGAGATACTCCAAGTATGCTCCTACTTATCTCCAGACTATACTCTCCTGCATACAATAAGGAGAACCAAACTTAAGGCATTCTTTTAGAATCAGAATTTCAAAATGTCTGACTGTGGGTTCTTTAAGACCACAAAACTTTCCTGGTGCCTAGGGCCAGAGGATGGAGAGACCAATGTTATCTGCTCAATTCATTTCCAGGTTTCTTTTACAACCTCTGAGGATCTGTTGATTTTCTTGCTACCAGTTCTGTTTCTGCACATGAGTAATTGGGGGCAGAGGCTGACCCTGCTGTTGTATAAAAGTAATTGACGGCAGTAAATTCAGCCCTTTGTGTTGCTCAGGTATAGAAAGTCCCTTGTTTCACACCACATCATAAATTATCCACCCACAGCCAGGTTCTGAAATTGTCTTTCCTAACTCCAGTTGAAGTTCATGGAGTTTGATGTGTGGATTTACTGTAGAATTAATTTCAGAGCCATGACCTTAGACCTTCTTACACGTGGGTATTTTGTGTATGGCATTTCCTATTAAGATCAAATCTGATTAGAACATAGATATTTACTCCTTCAGAGGTGTTGGATGCAGCAGCAGTTCTCAAATGCATGTCTCAATTACTGCTGTGTCCCCTCTCCACAAAGCCCTATTGATATGGGCTGTTTTTGCTACGCCCCTTTAATTATTATTTATTTAACTTTGATTTTCATGCCACTTTATATTTAACCAGCCATATGCAAACATGTAAGTGAAAGGAGCCACATGAAAATAAGCCAAAGGTGAATGGAAAACCCCATGTTTAGATTTCTGAATTAGAAGAAAGAATATATAGAGCTCGTATTTATTTAAATTTCTATCACAGTGACTGACTTATTTCTAAACTAGTCCATAAACATTGAGCCGAATCTCAAATTGAATTGCCTGGCAAACATTAGATTTTTATTGCACAAATTAAGAAATGCTGACAATATACAGAACACCACATTGGAGGGTGAACACTTAAAGCAATACTATATCCCATAGTCCCTTCTTCCAAGGCCAGGATTCATAATTCCCAGGAACATAGCCTAGTTTTGACCACCCCAGCTCAGTTTTTTAATATTGACCTTACCACTGTAGGCATTGACTATAAGTCTAATTGCTATCTCTGGTTAGAAAATTTGTGTGCCAGTCATTCTTTTGCTTGTCATTATGTTTTTGTGGACACAGTGAAAAGAAGAAACTGTTTCGGCTCCAGATCTATAACAACAAACATATTTGTCTCATTTAGACTCTAGTAGTGTGAATGTCTGTGTATATGCCAAGCACGGGAGCCAAAGCAGAAAATTAGATGCCGAGGTTACCTGAGAGACATTTCTTACTCTTTGAAATATTCTTAATAAAAGAGTTATGAGAAAGCAAAATAGATTACAACAGGAAAGACCATAATGCCATTTGTTATTACTAATTGTGATGGGAATATTAAAATTTTCAAAAGAGAAACTACACATTGATCACTAAATTGGAATTTCCAATTTATATATTAATAACCTCATCTTATGTACAAAAGAGATTATAAATTTAGTTACAATGTGCTATGGAGGCCAGGAAAGCAGTAGTCAGTGATAGAGAATAGAGGATGAATACTGGGTGAGAAAAGCATATTACCAAGAAGTAAGCAAAATAAACAAAGAGTAAAGGAAATGTACATGTTTCAAGGACTTAGAGACTTATAGAAAAGATCTGTGAAACCATGACAGGCCATCAAGGTCATAATGACCCAGAAGGGAAAGGGAAAATTGAAATCAAGCTTATTACAGATTTCAAATCCTCTGTGACATGAGCAAAATTTTGGGTGAAAATGAGTGAAAACAAAACTATGAGGTAGTTAAATTCATACTTTAGTGGCATAACTTCCAGAAAGCGAAGGACCAAACAGGACTGCATTGTGTATCCCAGTAGACATCATAGCATTGGGCTTATGCTTTAAATAAAACATTCTGGACTCTCTCTGTGCTGCCTCATACTTACCAAAAGTCCTTCAACTTATAGTCCCTGAGACTATCCATTTCTTTACCTGTAAAACAGAAATAAAAATGGTACCCTGTCTCATAGAGTTATTTGAGAATTAAATAAGTTAATGCATGTAAAGTTCATTACACAGTGCCTGGCCCATGCATATGTTCTGTAAAAGCAGGATAATATTATTAGCAATTATTATTGTAATTAGTCTCACACCAAACTTTGAGATCAATCCTACAACAAGGCTCTGTCATTCGCATCAAATTCAGCAGTCTTACTGCCGGTTCTGCTTGTATTCTTTGGTTCATTCATGAATGTATTCATTCAAGATACTTATTGAGTCTCTATCCTTGAGAAACTTCTCTTCTAGTAGGGAGTATTATCAACAAATAAGATAACTTCATAGAATGGCAAGTGCTATGAAGAAAAATAAAGGGAGCAAGGGTGGCTGGGGTGAGGAGACTGTTGGATTATGTGGTCAGGGAAGGCTTTTTTCAGCAGGTGGTGTTTTAGCAAAGATCTGAATGAAGATATGGAGCCATCCAGGAAGACATTTTAGAAAAACATTGTAAGTACAGGAGACGGTGGAGATAAAAGGATAGACACAGGAAAGACTTTGGCATTTGAGTTTCAGGGAGTCAGAATTAATACTGGTATATTTGAATTGGTACTGATCCAGATGCTTCCAAGATGAGAAGGGGTAGGCAAGGCTGGGAGGGTAGATCATAGAGGCTCTAAAGGCTGTGGTAAGGAGTTTGGATAATTTATATCCAACTCCATTATTAACTTTGAGGCTTGACCACCCCAAAATCAACTCGAACTAGGTACTATCTCTAAACATGACTTTAACAATATTTTTAGGGAGGTAAAAAGTGGAATACCATTGCCTTAATATGTGGCTTTCATTATTTAGTGCATTCAGTAACCTACTGTATTAGATGATAGCAAATTTAGTAGCAGTAATAGTTTCCTGGAATTCCTGTTATCTCCCCTAAGGGGCCAGTGCCTTGGCCTCTTCCCTCCAAATCTTTGAAACCTGGCCTAACTGTGATGTCGAACTAGCAGCACCTTTCTCCTGAGCCACAGAAGCTACTGCTGCTCTGTTGGTTCACCGGGAACACAGATCATCTGGGGATTTTACTCAAGCTGCAGACATAGGCCTGCGTTAACTCCTGATGCCAGAAGGATTTCTATTATTAACAAGATAATTGCCCTCAGTTTCAGACATTCCTCTCACCTCCCCAACATGTGTTTAACTTACATATTCTGATCCTGAGGACAGAGATCCAATAAATCATCTTAAAGGAGCATTTATCTATTCTAATAAAGAAATACAATGATGAAAAAGTATTATTTATAGACCAGAATAGCTCAAGTGTGAGTTTAAATTGGAGTTAGCTATTGCATTTAGTTTGTACTCAGGGGCCTTGTATTGCCTTCTTTAGAGGTCCTATTGACTGAGATGCAGGACACAGTCTCAGGCCCTCCTAAGATCCAGTAATACTCTTAGACCCACCACTTAACTCTGAGAAGACTGTAAGCCAAGGATATCATTCCTTTTCATTCAACACACATTTACTTGGTGAGTACTATGCACCAGATACTGTATTAGATGTTTCTGTTACAGCAGTTAACAATATAACCATAGACCTGGTTGTCCCTATACTGAAATAGAAGGAAATTTTCAAAAATCAAGAATCTGAAAATGCTGTGAGAGCATAGAGTAGCATGTTCAACATTGACAGTTTTGTGTATGCTGGGATTTGTACAAAGAGTAAGATTCAGCCAGGTAAAAGGTATTATATTGGGAGGGACCAGAAATTAGTAAAGTTTATATAATTCTATGTTGGAATAAGATATTGATTGATGACTAAATATTTTTGTATATTATTTGAGTAATTATGTTTTTTCCATTTTGATAAGGATATTTATCTTTACTAAGTAAATTTTATCTTTACTAAGTAGATTTATCTTTAGATAAAGATACTTATCTTTACTAAGTAAATTTTATCTTTACTTAAGGATAGGTAAAGAAAAAACAATCTATGAAGTGACTGAAAGTCAACTTCGTTGTCTCCTGTAACGTTAACCTCAGTATCTTGAAGGTCCTTATGGTAGATTGTGTAATTGGCCCCAATTATTCACCACTTCCTGTACCCATGGCTTTTGTCATGTGACATTGCTATCCTTTCTACTACAGGTGGAGTGAACTCCCCACCTTCACTTTGTATGCAACCATGTGACTTGCTTTGCCAACGTAATGTTAGCAGATATGATGCAAAGAGAGGCTTGAAATGGACTAACCTGGTTGGGCTTCCCCTCTTGCACTTTTGCTGTCACCATGAGCATAGCTTCCCCTGCGTAGATGCTGTTTGTTTACACTGGACCCCAGAATGAACACACATGGAGCTGACCTGAATCCAACCCACAGTGAGGATAAGCCTAAACACAACAAAAACTTGAAACAGAGCTGGCCAGCTTGACCTAGAGTAGATGAGTAAACCACCTCTCCCTACCCGAGCTGAACCACCCATGCCTGAGTTGCCATTTTAAGCCAATAAATTTGGGGCCATTTGTTACATAATATCATGTGGTAATAGCTAACAGATGTGACCACAACAACTAAAATGTTGGCACTAATAATAGCCCTAAGGTTTAGTGTTAGGATTTCTGCCTTATTATTTTGTTTATCAAGAACTATATTTTCTGGTTTATGTCTTGGTTTCCCAATACTTGTGACTGAATCCATTTCATCCTCAGTGACAATAAGCTGTTTTACCTTTTTCACCTTCACCTTTTTTGATACTTTTTGCCTGGTCAGCAGCGTGGTAAATAAGTGACCTAGGTCATTGACTGAATCCTGTGAATTAATGCTATTCTCACGACCTCTCTCTGACCTCTCCTCCTTACGGATTTGGACCTACCTTCAACTTCCATCTCTGTTTATTTTTAGGGGAAATGGGTTGAGAGCTCTCACTGAAGTTATGTATTGGAGGTTTTGCTAGAAACTGGAAATACATAAGTCATTAAGACAGATCTTGACTCAAAGTATTTGACCTAGTTGTTATATGCTGAATTGTTTCCTCCAACATTCATATATTGAAGTCCCAACCCCTAGTACCCAGAATGTGACTGTATTTGGAGATAGAGTCTTTAGATAGTTAATTAAATTAAAATGAGAAAGTTGGGGTGGGCCCTAATTGAATATGACCAGTGTCCTTTTAAGTAGAGGAGCTTATGACACATATATCTTCAGAGAGAAGACCATGTAGAGATGCAGGGTAAAGGTGGCCATCTACTAGCCAAGAGAGAAGCCTCAGAAGAAACCAGTCATGCTGACATCTTGATCTGACACTTTTAGCTTCCATAATAGTGAGAAAATAAATTTCTGTTGTTTAAGCCATATGTTGTTATGGCAGCCCCAGCAAACTAATACACTAGTCAGGTAGATAAAGTTGGATGAGTGCATTTTAAAAATAAGACTTTTGAAGTACTATAAAAGCATAAATGAGAGATCAGGTAATGTTAGGGGTTGGGGAAAGAAGAAAAAAATCTTCATAGAAGTGGTAACATTGAAATTTCAATGATGAATAAGATATTATGTGGAAAATTAGGAGAAGAATATTTCAGGTAAAGTAAAAAGTATATGCAAATATAAGAAGATGTGATAAATCATGGAATATTTAGGTAAATGCAAGTTGTTTGGTAGAGTTGGATATGTTTGTATATGTGTGTTTCCATGTGTGTTAGTGGGTAGGGGTATGAAGAGCAAGCAGGGAGATAGGTGAGGAGTTGAGACTATGAAATCAGGCAGCTTTCAGATTATGAAGCATCTTTTATGCAATGATAATGCATTTAGACTTTATTAAATAGGTTAGTTATTCTCAATCAGAGTGAAAGATATCAGAATCCTCTCTGGGTCTTTTATAAACTACACTTGCCCAACTTTGCTCATTTGCTCTTAAAGTTTTAAAATCATTATTACAATGGACAATAATGAAAAATTGCTATGATATTAAGATTGATGTCTACAGAGGAAAAATATTAAGACAACTAATAAAACAATTATTGCTTCTGGACACTTGTTGGAATATTAAGATATGTGACCATACAAAGCAAAAAATTAAAAACAACTGGAAAAGTGAGAGTCAAGCAGAAGAGTGACATGATCAAAGTTAACTCTGGTAGCCAAAAAAAAAAAGTGGACTGGGGAGAGGCAAGTCTAAATGCAAAAAGAAGTTAATTGATTATAGCAATATTCCCATGAAATATAATAACATCTTGATCTAAAACAATAGAAATGGTGATGACAGAAGGGAAAAATTTGGAAACAAAGTCAACAAGACCTAGTATATTAGTCCGTTCTCACAATGCTATAAAGATGCTTCCTGAGACTGGGTAATTTATAAATGAAAGAGTTGTAATAGACTCAGAGTTCTGTATGGCTGGGGAGGCCTCAAGAAACTTACAATCATGACAGAAGGTGAAGGAGAAGTAAGCATCTTCTTCACAAGGCAGCAAGAGAAAGAGAGTGCATGCAGGGGAAACTGCCACTTTAAACCATCAGATCTTGTGAGAACTCCCTATCATAAGAACAGCATGGGAGAAACTGCCCCCATAATCCAATCACCTTCCAGTATGTCCCTCCCATGACAAGTAGGGATTACAATTTGAGATGAGATTTGGGCAGGACACAGAGCCACACCATATTATTCCACCCTGGCCCCTCCCAAATCTCATGACCTGTTCACATTTCAAAACCAATTATGCCTTCCCAACAGTCCCCCAAAGCCATAACTAATTCCAGCATTAACCCAAAAGTCCAAGTCCAGAGTCTCATCTGAGACAAGGCAAGTCTCTTTCACCTATGAGCCTGTAAAAACAAAAGCAAGTTAGTTACTTCCAAGATATAATGGGGGTACATACAGGCACTGGGTAAATGTTCCTGTTTCAGACGGGAGAAATTGGCCAAAACAAAGGAGACACAGGCCCCATGCAAGTTGGGAACCCAGCTGGGCAGTCATTAAATCTTTAAAATTTCCTTCGACTCCATGTCTCACATCCAGGGCACACTAATGCAAGGGGTGGGTTCACAAGGTCTTGAGTTGCTTGCCTCTGTGGTTCTGCAGGGTACAGTGCCTGCCACTGCTTTCACAGGCTGGCATTGAGTGCCTTCAGCTTTTCCAGGCACATGGTACAACCTGTCAGTGGATCTACCTTTCTGGGGTCT
Source organism: Homo sapiens (assembly GCF_000001405.40). Taxonomy (NCBI): domain Eukaryota; kingdom Metazoa; phylum Chordata; class Mammalia; order Primates; family Hominidae; genus Homo; species Homo sapiens. The sequence continues at coordinate 101,293,239 of NC_000006.12, forward strand.
GAAGTATAGTAACTCTCTTCTCACAGCACTACGAGGCAGTGTCCCACTGGGGACTCTGTGTGGGGGCTCCAAACCCACATTTTCCTTCTGTACTGCCCTAGCAGAAGTTCTCCACGTGGGCTCTACCTCTGCAGCAAACTTCTGCCTGGACATCCAGGTGTTCCTGGACATCTTCTAAAATCTAGGTGGAGGTTCCCAAACCTCAGTTCTTTTCTTCTGCACAGCCACAGACCCAACACCATGTAGAAGCTGCCAGGGCTTTGTGCTTGCATACTCTGAAGCCACAGCCCAAGCTGTACCTTGGCCCCTTTTAGCCATGGCTGGAGCTGGATTAGCTGGGACACAGAGCGCCATGTCCTGAGGCTGCACAGAGCAGTGGGGCCTTGGGCCTGACCCCTGAAACCATTTTTCCCTCCTAAGCCTCCAGGCCTTTAATAGGAGGGGTTGCCTTGAAGATCTCTGAGATGCCATGAAGACATTTCCCCCTTTGTCTCAGCTATTAACATTCAGCTTCTCATTACTTATGCAAATTTCTGCAGCTGGCTTGAGTTTCTCCCCAGAATATGTTTGTTTTTTTTTTCTACCACATGGTCAGGCTGCAAATTTTCCAGACTTTTCACTCTGCTTTTTCTTTAAACATATGTTCCAATTTCAAACCATCTCTTTGTGAGCATATATACCTGTATGCTTTCAAAAGCCAAATCACCTTTTGAATGTTTTGCTGCTTAGAAATTTCTTCCACCAGATGCCCTAAATCATCGCTCTCAAGTTCAAAGTTTCACAGATCTCTAGGACAGGGGCAAAATGCCACCAGTCTGCTAAAGCACAGCAGCAGTAACTTTTGCTCCAATTCCTAACAAGTTCCTCATCTTCATCTGAGAGCACCTCAGCCTGAACTTCATCGTCCACATCACTACCCGCATTTTGGCCAAAACTATTCAACAAGTCTCCAGGAAGTTTCAAACTTTCCCACATCTTCCTGTCTTATTCTGAGCCTTCCAAACTGTTTCAACCTCTGCCTGTTTCAAAGTTGCTTCCACATTTTCACGCTATCTTTTAGTAGTATCCCATTCTGCTGGTACCAATTATCTGTATTAGTTCATTTTCACATTGTTATAAAGATAATACATGAGTCTGGGCAGTTTATAAACAAAAGAGGTTTTTAGTTGACTCACAGTTCCACATGGCTGGGGAGACCTCAGGAATCTTACAGTCATGGTGAAAGGCGAAGGAGAAGCAAGCACCTTCTTCATAAGGTGGCAGGAGAGAGAGTCCATGCAGGGGAAACTGCCACTTTTAAACCATCAGATCTATGACAACTTTTTCACTATCATGAGAACAGCATGGGGGAACTGTCCCCATGATCCAATCATCTCTCATTGAGTTCTTCCCTCGACACATGGGGATTACAATTTCAGATGATATTTGGGTGGGGACACAGAGCCAAGCCATATCACCTAGTAAACCAGGAAATATAGAGAAGCCAAGGGTGGATCATGTACCTTTAACTCAGAAAACTTGAGGGAATGGTGGTTGCATTCTGTGGCTGGGAAATTGAGTAGAAGAAATAAATTTTAGGAAGGAGACTTGTTTCTTTTGAACATGTTGACTGTGAGGCACTGAAGAAAAATTCAGGTAATGTTCAGACACAACCCTGTGAGTCATTGGACTCTTGGTGTCAGTCACCCATAATGGGAAGTGAAGTCTTTAATATCTAACTTTTATCAGCCCAAGATAAATCAAGGTTAGAATTGTTAAAATAGAAGAAAACAAATAAAATGACCAAAAAACAGCAAAAAAAAAAGCAAAACAAAAATCCTTGATAGCTTCCCAAACACTTTTTTCTTATAGTAAAAAAAAATCGTCTCTAGGTATTTTCATGTTTTCTGTTTTCCAGGAACTTGAAGGAAATATGGTTTCTAGAGTCTCTACTGCTAGTTTCTATTAAGCTTCAGATCATACAATAGCATGGAAATAGTTTAAATGCTGGATTATAACACTTTACTATAAAGGTTCCATTTGTACTTCCAGTTTATCTTATTTCACTTCTCTCTGTGGTGAAGCAAGAAGAAAGGGGGGTAATTAGTCAGAGACTGAAGTCTCTCGACTTCTCAATAAAATCCTGTCATTTTTAAATATGATTATATAAGATAGTTTGTCTGAGAACTAGTTATTAAATCACTCTTTTTTTTAATTAAACTTGAAGTTAAGATGATTGTATTCCTGAAATTTGTGTTTGACTTTGTGAGGATGGGTTAATAATACACTAAAAAAAACCTTCTCAAATCTCAGTGCTTAATAAAAGTTTCTCACTTAGTCTATATGTCTGAAGTGACTTGGCAGCAAAACATCTACTCATTGTAGTTATTTAGAGACCCAGGTTGATGGTGGCTCCTTCTATACATGTGCTTTCAGGGTCACTTCATCAGTGGGAAGGAAATGTAGTAAATCATATACTGGCTTTGAAGTCTTTCACGTGGACATGGCATATGTCACTTGCACTCAAATTTTATTAGCCAAAGCAAGTCACATAGTCGCAAAGATCAATCACATCCTGTGTCTAGAAATAGGGAGAATAGGTAATAGTTGGGGATTAGCAAAAATAACAACCACAGACATCTTATGCTGATAGCTCATACTTAAAGCATATATGCTCTTGTCGTAGAACATATAAATCTACCTCCCATAAAAAATAATTTTTGTAATAAGAGTGATTTCTTAATATTCTATTCCAATTGTATCTCTACTGTCAAATTGAGTGAGATTAAAAATATCTTGATAGCTTGATTCCAGTATCTAGCTACAAGGATTTTGGAGGGAAAGTGATATTCCTGGATTTTTATCAGTGTATTTTTACCACTAAATAGTCATTGCACCAAATGTTCTTTCATTTTATAGGCTAACTAGCTTCCAAATATAAAGCTCTGAATTAGTTACAGAGGTTGTAAAATCGGAGAACCTGGTTACTATTTACTGTCATATTGAACCAGAAAAATATATATATTTTTGTTTTAGAATGGCTGAGAATCTTATAATTGTTTCAAGATGTACAGATGCGAGTGAGAAGAGTGAGTAAAACATTGAGCTTGTGAAAGAAGGAAGATGAGTGAATTTCTCTTATTGGGCTTCTCTCCAGAAAGAGTCATCTGGCGAGTTGGCAAAGACAAAATCAAACAACCATGTGCCAGATGTGCACGGCTGTTGTTGGGCCATCTGCAGCTTGCTTTTATGCCATATGCCACTTTTACATTTGGTCGGCTGGGGTATCAGAGGCAAAATTCATGGGGCAATTGCTTTTGTATTATTCTTGTAAATTTAATCAGAAAAAAATTAATCGATAACCAGCTTTGCTAGGGAATGAATACAGAATACTTGATGAAGGAGATAGTACTGCCAGGATTGCTTAGATCCTAAATCAAGAGCTGGAAACAACCTTTGGTTACACTTTGAGAAAACAAATGACAAAGTGGTGCTATGATCCTGACTCTTGGATGCCCTTGCTAACTTCAGTCACCTCTGAGGCAATCTTTTTCTTTTTCCTTTTTTCCTTCTTAACTTGTTCCACTTTATCTTTCCTCTGATCTGTGGAAAGCAAGGCTACTATTCAAATAAAAACCTAGCCAATTATTTGCTTTCTATTGAAAATGGGCAGTGGTAGTGGTTTTATATTTCTGAATTATTGGGCCTACTTGGCATGGTATAACATAAGCAAAGAAAGATTGCTTTGTAATTTGAGTTCCATAGGCAATATAATAATACCACTGACAGGGTATGAGCAGATGAAAAATGGATTATAGTATGCTTAAACTTTATACCCAGAAAATCATTTCTTGATTTTTTACCAGATTTTGCTAAGGCTGTCAGTCATTATTGACCACATATTAATACGTTTGCTTTTTGCCAGTTTGGAATCTAGTTGAGGCTGAATTGCAGTTAATATTTTTCTGAATCAAAGCCTGGAGTTTTAATTAATCTAACAAATATCTATACTTCTTAATTGAAGTGGTCATGACATTCTGCTGTTTTCTGCTGCTGGTATTCTTATTTTGAATATAGCATGTTTATGCTCTGTAACAAACTGTGTATAAAACAACAGCATGCCTATAAAACCAGAGTGGCCTGTTCTTTTTAAAGATTTTGTGAATATTGCATTATTATGCTAAAGTTTACATAAAATAAGTAAGCCTAGGGGGCCTTAAAAAGGTTAAATAGTAGGTGTGAGGAAGATAAATTTATAGGAAGCAGCATGGAAAATATATTACGACCTATATTGCTAACTTAATGTTTTAGTTCTATTTTAGGGATCTTTCCTTTAAATATTTTAATAAATGTTCCTCGTAACTTAATTATTATGAAATGGCTACAGTTGGTAATGTTTATTAAGTTCTAACACAACATCACTCTAAACTAACACTGATGTTAAATTTTATTTCAAGCTCTAAATTACCACAAAAAGGCCCACTTAGACCTTCTGGCATTTAAAGTTTGAGTTAAGATGAATTAGCCACATAAGAAAATTTGTGGGTTTATAGACCTTGATTCTAAGGTAGGATGGTAAAGCATTCTCTATTAGTGGCTCTATTCAGCTTCCTGATTTGAAAAAATATAGGAGGCAGAAATAATTATTACCTATATTCAGCTGTGACAATATATGACTATCACTTGCAGCATTTGGTTTCCCATCCTGTGGGTATCTTCACTAACACAGAAAATTGAATCCAGATTATCCTAATGGTCAGCATCATCCGTGGAGAATTGAGAGAAATATAAGGGAACATTATTGTGTGTTGACTATATTCCCAGAAGCATGCTGGAGGCTCTTCACAGATTATCTCTGTAATTCCCTCGCCATACATATAAGAGTTAATTATTTGATTAAACCACATGAACTTGCCTTCTCTGTAGGTAAAAAACTGTTGAATATCAGCAATTTCATGTGGATCATCCTAAACGTTACTCTTTTTAGCTCGCAAATCAGAACACTGAGGCTCAGAGAAGATAAGTAATTTGCTTATATTGCAGCTATTAAGTGGCCAATCTGGAATTTAAACCTAGTCCGCTCTTTTCAACATTTCATAAAACATTGCTTCTGTAAACTGGATTAAGAAGTAGTTTATTATAGCTATTTCTATTTGCATGTAAATAATAAATCAAAGACTTTTCAAATTATATTTTTAATGGGTTAAATGTGCCCCTACCATATATTTTTCTTACTAGAAGGCCCCTATTTTTTCTGTTTAATATACTATACATTAACTCATGATAAAGAACTTTAGAAATATAACTACTGTACATAAAATGTACACAGTTAGCATTTTAATAAGAGTATTTTGTAGATAGAGGCCACAGTCAGTGCCAATTTTTTCAATTTACTATATTCTTAAGCAAAGTTTTGATTATGGTCCTTTATTAGAGATTTTTTGGTTTCGTGTGTGTGTGTATAGGGAGGTGGGGTATAATAAGCTTTGGAAACATAATCTTTCTTTACGATTAGTTTGTTACAAATTGTTTTTGTTGTTTCACATACTTAGTTTGTCTTATCTATGGTCAGCAAGTGTTGGGTGCAGTTTCACAGGTGGCCAAATTGGGCACACTCTAACTGGTTAAAAATATGTTTATTTGGCCTATATTTAAAGCAATTGAATGTGTAATAATTTGAGTTTGGTGGGCTTTGACATAATGGTCCTGGCCTGTTATATTAAATAGAGGCCAATATACAGGAGCCATCTTGGTCCATTTATTTAACACTGTGTTATCCAGGTATACAGCTGTCTAGAGAGGAAACACAGCAAAGCCTCCACTGATGATCGTCAATGATCAATGCCTGCCTGGAAACTAAGGGAAAAGGACATTCCTCAGAAGTCATGAGCAGACCCTTTGATAATTGACTCTCTGTTTGCTTGTGATTCCATAAGATGAAATGCATGCCCTTCTTTTGAGTGCTAGTATGTTGCATGCATGATGCTCTATTATTCATGTAACTAAAACAGTTCTTGGAATGTAACAGGTACTCAATAAGTATTTTTGTGTAAATGAATAATCTCTAATTTATACAACAATATTAGAAGGTAGATATTGTTAAACGTCTTTCACAGATTACAAATAACCTCTTTGGTCTTCAATATCAGAACTTGTAAAATGGGACCAATAATATACATCTTACAATGTAGCTTTCAGAATGAGATAAAAGAATATATCTCAAGCATCTAGCAGAAGATTTGGCTCATAGTTAAATGCTCAACAAATGTTAGTTTCTGTCCCTACTTTTTGAGCCTACATTTTCTGCATTAAGTCTTCCCCTTAATGATCATTTTACTATGACTTTGCCAGTATAGAATGTTCAGGGTGGGGGCACTTGAAGAAGGTGATTCACTCCTCCCTAATCTCCTTTCCTTTACCCAGGCATGTTTCTAGAGGAGAATTTAACTTTACAATTTCCTCAAAAACTGCAATGTATAACAATAAATGAATCTGAATACTGGTTTATTCTTCTAATTGGGAAACACAACAGAAGCTGGACAAAAGCTGACATGGGAGTAGTCCCATAGTCCCTGCCCATGCATACGTGGAGACCCAGAAAGTGCTAGTCATTTCTTCATGAGATGTAAGCAGGTTGCTATTGGGGTGAGTGAGGAGCTGGGCATAAGATAAGGTGCTTCCTTTCAATGAAATTATGCTTTCTATGAGAAGGTGTGACTTGGTAGAGCTTTTGGCTCTGGAAGAATATATACCAGATATCTTTATCCTCTGTTAGAAAGTACTTGTAATATAATGCATATTAATATTTACTTATTCATTTGGAGAAATGTTTTGCTCTTTGTTTTTATATTTTTGGATGCTACATTTATTTTTTCTCTTTGAAAATTCTAATGACCATCTGCAGTACTGGGAACTAGAGAAGTTTTTATGACACTATGTTTCAGATTTAGTTAAGATTACTGGTAAATTGCATGCATTAGCTTTTAAAAATTTGGGGCAGATTCTAAACACCTATATGCTAGCTTTTAAAACAAAATGTGTCCCTCTTAAACACTGGAAAAATATCAAAAAAGAAACGAACATAAAATCTGTTCTGCATGTTTCTCTGAGACTATTTTTCAGCATGTAAAAACTTAACTTCATTTAATTAACTTCGGTTGAAAGCGAACCAATTTACCAATTTTTTCTTCCTGCAGTAGCTGATTTCCTTCTTGGTTCTATAACCACTGACCCTAATGGCCAACCCATTCTTCTGGAAACTCTTCTTTCCCAACTTGGATCCCCTATCCTAGAATGACTGTTTTTCTATTCTCTACTTCTTTTTTTCTCTGTTTTTGTTGTTGTTGTTTTTGTTGTTTTGATGTTCCCTCCCACAAACGAGTTTATTAGCATAAATATATTGATGAGGTCCAAGACACAACTTGTAAGACATTTTAAGTTACACAGGTATCATCAGTTAACAGGCAATGTTTACTATCTAGAGTTGTGATCCTGTTGACATCCAGAGTCGAATTACACCTCCATCAAACCCCTAATCACCAGTGCATTCCCAGCACACACAATCCAAATGATTAAAGAAGGTAACGATTTTCTCCAAAATAACCACAAAATGCCCAAAGTATTTAATTCACTCTATCTCACACCTCTTGCTATTCTAATTATCATTGCTTTTGGAGTTTGTTTGTTCCTTTATCCTCATCCAGAAATTTAGCTTCCTAACCTTAGTTCTATTTTCTTTCTATATCCTCTGCTACTTAATGAGCTCACATATTCCCATGGCTTTAAAAATTACTCCTAAGGAGATGATTTTTAAATGTCACTCTCAAATAACAACCATGTTTTCAAGCTTTATTTCACATTTCTGACTCTTTTACAACACCCAGAAATCCCAATGGCATCACAATTAAACCATTTTTCTCATTATGACTTCCCATTTTTTGATACTGACATCAAGAAATAAAACTAAAAATCTCAAGCCCATGTTTGATTACTTCCTTTTCCATTCTATCTTCAGCAATTTGATTATCAAATTCTGTCAAGACTTTTAATTTCTTCTTCCTTTTCATTAAACCATTAAAACATATTTCATCAATTCTAACATGCATATTTGTTCAAATTTTAATGTCCGAAACTGGCACATGTCTTAAAATTAATGGTGTATTAGGATTGTGTCAAAGTATAATTATCAGGGCTTTACATTTTTTCATGATGGTACATAAAATAAGGATGCATGTTACAACTGATAGTATCTTAGACCTGATGTCTCATTCTACGTAAATTCCTAATTAACCCTCTCTTGAATTATGGACATTGGTTGGTCGAGTACCAATTGTACTTTTCATTATCACCAGAATACTCTTCTCTATGTATAATTCTGAACAATCATTTTCTTGGTCAAGAATTTTTACTTCTACCCATTAGCTGTCATATGAATTTGAAATTCTATGTCTTAGAATTTAAAGCTCTCTGTGATCTAATCCCAATCTGCCTTTATAGTCATCTTTCACAGCTCTCATAATTTCCTACTCCATGTACAAACTGGAATAGCTGCAAAGTATACCTTGTAATTTCTTACCAATGTTCATTTGCTGAAGAAAACATTCTCCTTCAAATGCTACATTCTTCCTTCTGATACTTCCCTTGCAAAATGATAACAGTGAAAGAAATCTAACACGGCTGACTCCATCTTGCTTCTAACCTCAGAAGCTGTCTTTGCTCATATTTACATGTAGGCTAGACCAACTATAGGAGGTATTTAGTTTATTGTTTAAAGCAAGAATGATAATAGTCACTTCTCAAAACTAAACCTCTCCTTTCTCAGGGGTTAAAATCACCTTTGTAAAACTAATGAAAAGCCACAAAGTTTAGAATTATGGTAGGGGCCAGAATTCTGCTAAGATGTAGGCATAGTTAAACTCTAACCAGTCATTGTTTCTTTTGCTAAGATGTAGGTATGTGATATGGTTTGGCTTTGTGTCCCCACCCAAATCTCATCTCTAATTGTAATCCCCATGTATTGGGGGAGGGGCCTGGCGGGAGGTGATTGAATCATGGAGGCAGACTTCCAACTTGCCTTTCTTGTGATAGGTGAGTCAGTTCTCATGACATCTGGTTGTTTGAAAGTGTGTGGCACTTCTTCCTTCACTCTCTCTCTCCTGCCACTATGTAAGATGTGTCTTGCTTCCCCTTCTGCCATGATTGTATGTTCCCTGAGGCCTCCTCAGCCATATGGAACTGTGAGTCAATTAAACCTCTTTTCTTTACAAATTATCCAGTCTCAGGTAGTTCTTTATAGCAGTGTGAAACAGACTAATACAGTAGAGTTAAACTCTAACCAGTCATAGTTTTATAACTTGCCTTTTTGTAACTGCTTACTGCTCAGGATTATGTAGCTGGTGGTCACAAGATGTATAACTTTCATGTCCCCAAATTCCCCTATGGATGACATTGCTATTGTAAAACCTAAGACTGGTGTTTGAAATATTTTTTAGACCTTACATTTTGGTAGAACAACTGATGGCACCTGGACTAGTGACCCATACCTGGAAACTGACTCAGCTTGTCCTGTGGCCCCCACCCAGGAACTGACTCAGTGTGACTCAGTGCCTGAAGATAGTTTTGACAAGCATATTATTTCATCCCTGACCCAGCCAATTAGCAATATCTATTCCTTAGCCTGCTGCCCATCAAATTGTCCTTAAAAACCCTCGCCTCCAATATCTCAAGGAGGTGGGTTTGAGAATTATCTCCCATCCTCATTTCACAGCTGCTCTGTGATTATTAAACTTTCTCTGCTGCAATTCCCTACTGTTTCAGGGCATTGGCTTTTTCTAGGTAGTGGGCAAGAAGAACCCAACTGGACTGTAACACTTTTATCTCTTTGTGACCCACCTGTGAATCAAAGAACAGTTGAAATATCACTTTCTCTGTTAAGGCTTACTGACATGCCCAACCTCTATGGTTTCTCTCTTACTCATGAAAGGGAATATTATGATTCTCATTATTACCCTTTTCTTTATTTTAATAGAGAAGGGAATTTAGGATCAGAGAGTTGTGACTTAAGGGTCAGGGTAAGTGACAAAGTCAGGATTTGAATATAGATCTTTCTTACCTGAAATAATATACTCTGTTTAGTTACAGATGAAATGTAAGAAATGGGCTGAGGAGAACAACAAGATAAAAGTCCAAGTGAGGTAGATTAGATATGGTGGTCATAGCCTCCCCTTTAGGGGCAAAACTTGCCAAATAAATGGAGGAACAAACCACACGACAATGCACAAATTGCATCCTGGGCTTGTGGTTAGAACATCCTGCAGCAAGGAGGAAGAAGAGCAGAAGAGAAAATCCCCAAACTCACACAAGTGCAGAAACCCATGCTCAATGTCTTTGGGCTGACCTATGCTCATTACAATAGTAAACCCTGGGTGGAAATTTAAGATGCTAATGAGGCATGTGATGTATATACCAGCATGTAGAGCTGCTGTGCATGCAGGCTGAAGAAACCACTTGTAATATGCTTAATATCAACACCCCTTCCCACCCTTTCATGAATAATCATGTAATACTCCCATAAAGGGAATTTCCCCAGTATCAGTCAGTGCTATCTCACCTTTGAGCAGCTCGCTCTGATCCGCTGTCAGAGTATACTTTTGCTTTACAGTAACTTTTACATTGGACTCTCTCTCACATTCTTTTGTGCAGTAAAGTCAAGAACTGAACCAGCCCACTAGCAACAAAAACATCTGCTTTCTGTGTTTTAGAAGTAGGAGCCTGATAATAACTTTATCTTACCCTAATATCTACTGATAATGAAATAACTTAATAAACTCTATTTTCAACTGGGTAATTTATTATTTATTATGAGGAGAACTTAGAACTCTCAGATTTAGTATTTTTTACATGTGTGAACACCATAGTTACCAGTATAGTATAGAAAACTACATTCAACAATGATGCCAGCTACAGGTACTGCTAATTAAAAAGTAAATAAACTTAAAGGACATACTAAAAGGATAAAATGAAAAATAATACAAAGATGAAATAAGACATTAGAGAAATATACATATATACACAAAGGATACAAGTGTGATGTACAGTCCTATTTTTCCATAGGAAAAAATAGAATCCTTTGAATTGAAACTACTTCAAACAGTAAGTTTCCTTTCTACAACTCCATACAAAAATCAGGCACCATATAAAGATCCCTGAGGGAGGATGCCTCCAAGCAAGTTCCTGGGTCTTATGCTAAAAGTTTGGACCTCTTCTGCCCAATTTCGAAATGATGTTTGGTGAGAAGAAGTCATGAGCCTCATTTTGAATCAGCTGAAGGCTTTGCATTCAAGCATCCAAATCTAAAATCTAGTGATGTGTCTACTCAGAATCTACTCTGTAAAATATCTGAGTGCAAACCAAGTCCCCATAAAAAGTCCATCACTTGCAAACAACATCATCGCCATCTCCAATATAAATGATCAGCTTCATACACACAATGAAAACCCTAAGGAATCTACAAAAAGCTATTATAATTCATAAGTAAATTGGCAGAGTAATGAGTAAATCACAGGATATCAGGAAACTATTTTAAACATCAATTGCATTTGTATATACTATCAATAAAAATTAGAACTTAAAATTTTAATATTTACTCTTTAAATTTATCCTAACAAGCGTTTATCATTTCGTGTGTTAGAAACCTTCCAATTCCACTTTTCTAGTTATTTTGAAGTACACAATATGTTATTGTTAACTATAGTCACCCTATTGTGCTACAGAACATGATATTATTCACTCTATCTACCTATATTTTTGTACCTATTAACCAACCCCGCTTGATCTCTCCCTCTCCACTAATCACCAATCTACTCTCTATCTTCATGAGATTCACTTTTTCGGCTTCCACATCGAAGTGAAAATATGGTATTTGTTTTTCTGTGCCTGGCTTAGTTAACATAGTGTCCTTCAGGTCCATCCATATTGTTGCAAATGACAGAATTCATTCTTTTTATAGCAAATAATATTCCATTGTGTATATATGCCACATTTTTTATCCATTCACTCATTAATGAATGTTTTCATTGATTACCTATCTTAGCTATTGTGAATAGTGATACAATAAACACAGTGCAGATAACTCTTTGAAATACTGATTTCCTTTCTTTTGGGTATAGACCCAGCATTGAGACCACTGAATTGTATAGTAGTTCTGTTTTTAGTTTTTTGAGGAACTTCTATACTGGTCAACATAATGACTGTACTAATTTACATTCCTGCTAACAATGCAGAAGGATTCTTTCTTCTCATCCTCACCAGCACCTTTTATTGCCTGTCTTTTGGATAAAAGACTTTTAACTGGGGTGGGATAATATCTCATTGTAGTTTTGGTTTGCATTTCTTTGATAATTAGTGACATTAAACATTTTTTCATATACTTATTGGTCATTTGTATGTCTTCTTTTGAGAAATATGTATTCAGATCTTTTGCCAATTTTACATTAATTGTTTTGCTGTTGAGTTAGTTGAGCTCCATATGTATTCCGGCTATTAATCCTTTTTCAAATGGCTAGGCTGTAAACATTTTCTCTCATTCTGTGGGTTTTCTCTTCACTTTGTTGATTGTTTCCTTTGCTGTGCAGAAGCTTTTTAGCTTGATGTGGTCCTATTTGTTCAGTTTCGCTTTGGTTGCCTGTGCTTTTGAGGTCTTACTCAAGAAATCTTTGCCCAGATCAATGTGCTAGGGTATCTCCCAGAATGTTTCCCCATCATCAAGTGATGTATTACTGTATATACAATATTTGGCAGTCTTTGTCTGTGGCTGGCCTTTATATTTTCTTAACAGTGTCTTTTGAAAATAAAATATTTTTGATTTTGGTGAAGTCCAATTTATCATTTTTTATTTTCTAAGAAATATTTGCCTACTCAAAAATCATAAAATTTTCTCCTCTATTTCTTCTAGAATTTTTTAAAGTTTACTTTTTACATTTAGAGATATTTTAGTTACATTTATTTAATTTTCATGTATGTTATGGAGTAAAGGTTCAGGTTTGTATTTTTTCTATATGGTTATTCATTTTTCCATTAAAATATTTGCTGAAAGTATTCATGCCACCACTAAATTACCATGCCTTTTTATTATGAAATAATGTCCTTTACAGCAACATGTATACAGCTAGAGGCTATTATCCTAAGTGAATTAATGCAGGGACATAAAACCAAATTTCACATATTCTCACTTATAAATGGGAGCTAAACATTGGGTATACATGGACATAAAGATGGCAGCAATAGACACTGGGGACTTCTAGAGCAAGGATGGATGGAGGGGAGTGTGGGTACTGTGCTTATTACTTGAGTGACCGAATAATCCATACACCAAAGCTCAACAACATGCAATTTACTCATGAGGGAAACCTGCACATGTACCTGCTGAATCCAAAATAAAAGTAAAAAAGAAGAAAATTATTTGGTATCAGGTTAGTAAATCAATTTCTGAATTCTGTATTCTGTTTCATTATTCTATATATTTATCCTTATGACAATATCACACTTGATATTTCTAGTTTTATAGTAAATCTTCAACTTTAATCTCATGCTATAAAACATTTTTTTATATAGACCTGCCATTCTTCAGTTCCTCCTCTTCTTGGTTACCAGAGTTAACATTGTTTATTTATTAATTTTTATTTTTGGAGACAGTGTCTTGCTCTGTTGGCCCAGACTGGAGTGCAGTGGCATGATCACGGCTCACTGTAGCCTTGACTTCCCAACCTCAAGCAATCCTTCCATCTCAGCCTGTTGAGTAGCTGGGGCTGTAGGCACATGCCACCATGCCTAGCTAGCTTTTTGTATTTCTTTTTTGGTAGAGATGGGGTCTCACTGTGTTGTCCAGGCTGGTCTTGAATTACTGGGCTTGAGCATTTCTCCTGCCTCTGCCTTCCACAGTTCTGGGGTTACAGGCATGAGTCACTGTGCCTGGCCACCAGAGCTAACTTTTTTTTTTGAATCAGAATTACACATTTTTATTTACTTGATGAAAGGGAAGGTAGATTAAGTTCATGTATAAAAAAACAAAGCAGCTTGTGATTCGTGATGTGTAGGGTTTCTTTTGAAATTTGTTTCCTTAGGAAGTTTATAATCTGATCATTTTCTTCTCTTGGCTTCATTGATCCAAACTTTGAATAGGACACTCCTCTGTTTGGGTTTTATAGGTTCTTTCAATTCAGTGTAAATTTTAGGGTCAATGCATTAATTTCTGCAAGTTTCCTGGGGTTTTGATTGAAATTATGTTGAATATGTAGACTAATTTGGGTATCAGTTACATCTTAACAATGTTACATCTTCTGACTCATGATTATGGCATAACTTTCCATAAAATTAGATCTTTAATTTTTCTCAAGACTATTTTGTAGTTTATAGTCTACAGGTCTGGCATGTATTTTATTACATTCAGCCCTAGTTATTTCATGTTAGAATAAATTTAAAAAGTAAACAGTAAAATTTTAAGTTCTAGTTTTTTAATTAGAACTTATTTGTGGTATATGCAAGTGCAATTGATTTTTGAAATAGTTTCCTTGTATCCTGTGATTTACTCATTACTTTGTTAATTTACTTATGAATTATAATACCTTTTTGTAGATTTCCTTTCTTTTCTTTCCTTTTCTTTTCTTTTCTTTTCTTTTGTTTTCTTTTCTTTTCTTTTCTTTGAGATGGAGTTTTCCTCTTGTTGCCCATGCTGGAGTGCAATGGCATGATCTTGGCTCACTGCAAACTCCACCTGCCAGGTTTAAGTGATTCTCCTGCCTCAGCCTCCCGAATAGCTGGAATTATGGGCTACCACCACCATGCCTGGCTAATTTTTGCCATGTTGGACACGCTGGTCTTGAACTCCTGATTTCAGGTTATCCGCCTGTCTAGGCCTCCCAAAGTGCTGGGATTACACACGTGAGCCACCATTCACGGTGGCTTTTTGTAGATTTCTTAAGATTTTCAATATGTACATTAGGTGTCTTAGAATAAAGACGGTTGTGAAAATATCTTTTTGTCCTATCTTCATGCCTTTGTTTCTTTTTTTGTTTTCTTTCTTTTTTTTGACTTACTAAACTTGCTACTTGTTTCATTGCAATGTGTAATAAAAGTAGTGTTAGCAAACATCCTCTTTTTGTTTCTAGTCTTAGGAAAAAAGCATTCACTCTTTAATAATTGAGCATGATGTTAGC
Source organism: Homo sapiens (assembly GCF_000001405.40). NCBI lineage: Eukaryota > Metazoa > Chordata > Mammalia > Primates > Hominidae > Homo > Homo sapiens. Next base: position 101,308,430 of record NC_000006.12, read on the forward strand.
TGTAAGTATTTTATAGACATTATTTATTAAATTGAGGAATTTCATTTCTATCACTAATTTTCTGAGAATTTTATAAGTGGATGTCAAATTTTGTTAAGTGTTCTTGCATACCTACTGAGATAAGTATGTGGTTTTCCTTTTTTTCTGTATGTGTGTGTGTGTGTTAGAGAGTGTATATGTGTGTGTGTATATATATATATATACACACACACACACGTATATATATATAGTATCTTGAACCAATCTTACATTCCCGGGGGAAAAATAAAGTTGGTCATTGTGTAATAGTACTTTTAGATATTGTTGGATTTGATTTGATAATATTTTGCGGGGGCAAAATTTTTAATGGCTGCGTTTATAAAAGATTACTGTAATGTCTGTGTCTTATTTTGGTATCAGAGAAATGCTAACATTACAAAATAAGTTGGGAAGTAGTCTCACATTCTTTACTTTCTGAAAAAGTTTTTGTCATTTTGGCATTATTTCCTCACTTAATGATTGATAGAATTCACTATTGAAGTCATTTGGGCCTTAGATTTTGTTGTAACTGTTAACTGAAAAACTTTAATAGATATGGAGTTACTCAGGTTTTCTATTTTTTTCTTACATCTGTTTAATTTTTTTTGTCTTTCAAGTAGCTTACCTATTTGATCTGTTACCAATTTTATTGGCATAAATATAGTTCTTGGATTTTTATTATGCTTTTAATACCTTTTGAGCCTGTAGAAATACTCTCGCTCATACCTCATAATCATAATTATATTCTGTGTATCTCTCTCTCTCTCTCTTTCTTCTTGTATCTCTTTCTCTGGATGTCTCTCAGTAAGCCTAGAGTTTATCCATCTCATTGTGTTTTTATGGAACTATAGCTCTTGGTTTTATTGATTTTTCCTTTTATTCACTTTTTATGTTTACTGAATACATAAATGCAACTATAACAAAATGACTAAGAAAAGTTAAAAATAAAAAATATGCATGAAGGTGTTCCAGACAATTCAAACAACCAAAAAAGTCTAGCTTACTGTTTTAGTATCAGATAAGGTTTAATATAGAAAAAAAGGCCAAAATGAGACAAAAAAATCTTTATTATGATAATTCACAATGAATAGTTAACAATCATGTATAATGTGCCAAATAAAATAGATGCAAAACATAGAACATATGATATGATACAGACAGAATTTGGTAGCAAGACATTTTAATGTACTTCTCTCAGACAATATGAATTTAAAAGGATGAAAAATAAGTGAATACACAGAAAAATAAAACAATAATAAGTTAAATCTACTTAAGTATAAATATCAAACTATATTCAAAGAAAACAGAGCATATTTCTTTTCAAAAAGTATATTATATGCATAGTACATTATGTATATAATGTATTTAATGTACTATGCATAAATATATAGAACATTAATAATGACTATATTAGGCACAACCAAAATGAATTAAAAAAATAGAAGCAGTAAAGGCAAAATTCTCTGCTCAGAGAAAAATAAAAGTAGAAAATAAAATCCTGTCTCCTAAAAATTAAAAACTGTCTTAAAACACTCTTATGATTATAGGAATCCACAATCAAAATTTTGAAATATCTAGAAAATAGTAATAATTATAATAGTACCTAGCAGAACCAATTGTATCCAACTAAAATAGTACTCAGAGAAAATACTTTCTTTGTTGTAACAATCAACTGAAAAACTTTGATGTAAGTTACTCAGGTATTCTATTTTTTCTTAAATCTTTTTTTTTGTCTTTTAAGTAGTTTATGTATTATCTATTATAAATTTTATTGGCATAAACGTAGTTCTAATTTTTAAAAGTATAAATACATATACTTAAAAATGCATATAAATAAAATAATAATCTTCTAATTTAAAAAGGATAAAGACATTCTTAAAAACATAAAAGTATAATACATATAAATAAAAACACTTAAAAAAGCATAATACTTATACTTTAAGAAACATAATACATATACATAAAAATATATGTACTTAAAATGTATAATGCATACACTTAAAAATAGTGTAATACAAAAACTTAAAAACTCATATTAAAAAAGCATAATACATATACTTATAAAAGTATAAATACATATACTAAAAAACTTGTAATAATAAAATAAGGATAAAAATATTCTAGTTTTAAAGAATATAAATACATAAACTTAAAAGTTCATCTAAATAAAAAAAGAATAAAACTAAATTAAGCGTTCAACTCAAGAAGTTATAAAAACAAAAACATAGTTACATTGTAGCAGAAGAAAGAAAATGACAAAAAGAGTCAGAAGACTAAAAATTAGGAAACAAGGTTGGGCATGATGGCTCATGCCTATAATCCCAGTGCTTTGAGAGTCTGAGGCAGGAGGAGCACTTGAGGCCAGGAGTTGGAGACCATCCTGGGCAACATAGTGAGGCCCCATCTTTACAAAAAACTTAACAATTAGCTAGGTGTGATAGTGCATGCCTGTAGTCCTAGCTACTTGGGAGGTTGAGGCAGGAGGATCCCTTAACCCCAGGAGTTTGAGGCTGCATTGAGCCGTGGATTGCATTACTCACTACAGTGTAAGTGACAGAGCAAGATCTTGTCTCTAAAACAAAACAAAACAAAAAAAGAGAAAAACAAAATCAAAAAAGTTCCATAATGAAATAAATCCCAGAGCTGTTTTAGTAACAAAGACAATATTAATAATATTAACAAGAAGAAAATAAGAGATCACATATTAGCCAACCTAATCAATAAATAAAAATAGGCAAGTAGCCATGCATTTGGAAGAAACTGAAAAGTCAGAAGAGACTGTAATGAATGAGATTAAATGTGAAAATATAAATAGAAAAATATTAATATGATTTTGAATAGAATAATAAATATTTATGATTATAAATTACTGAAAACAACTTTGGAAAGATGGAAATACTAAACAAATAATTTACCATGGCAGAAAGAGAAAAGGTTATTTAAGAACGTTGTTTTACAGCTGTCTTTACACAGGTGCAAAATAATCTATGAGTAAAGATATTTACTTCAGTATATTTACAACTGCAAAAGGGTGGAAATAACCTATTTTTCCAACAATAATGCACTACTTATTTTAATGATGAAATATCCATGTGGTCATTAAAAGGATGAGGACCTATTATATGTATTGATGTAGAATAATAAAGTTGCTATTATATTGTATAATTATGACATAACCTATTGAATAATGCATACAATATGCCATATTATTCATGGTGAATGGGACAGTACTTTTCTCTGTATGCGCCTTTGTATATTAAATTTTGTAGGATTTTGATTTTTACAACATGTGATTCATTTTATCTGTAAAATATAGGTATAATATAGTTAAAATATATTTAATTTAAGTACATTAAAAGAACACCTGATTGATGACAATGATGATGATGATGAGGATTATAGCTACCATATGTTGAGTGCCTGTGACAGGGACAGGGCCTTTCATATATTATCTTGAACACTCACAATAACTCAAAGCAGGAAATTAGGTTCAAAGAGGCTAATTAATGTGTCCAATATTACAGGATTAGTATGCCACTTACCACCTGGAAATCAAGTACAACTTCAAAGCCAATGACAACCAAGGTTTACCCAAGTTCAACTGACCATTGTAGTTAACTAAATAGACATAAACTATTTCTTCACCTCACTGAGCCACATAACACAACCTTTTCTTTTCAAGTGCCAAGTGTGATATAAATTAGCTAACTTTATTACTATAGTTTGGATTTTATATACATGAAATCTTGTTTTCCTAAAAGATCTAATTAAGATTGCATAAAGGTTTGCAACAGTCCTGTTGTATAAATGATTCAACATTCCCACAACAAACTAGATAAACATTTTGCCAATCACTAATTAAAAAGCTGGCTCTAAGTACAATAACCTGGAGTCAGTTTGCATTCACATTTCTATTAAAGGCTAATGAATACACAGCTAAACTAATTTAGTCAAATTGTTTCTTCATTGTGTTCAAAGTTAAAACTAACAATTCAGATTTAGCCGTGAGTCTTTTAAATTATTTTTTTCTCCCCTATTGAGTAAAAGTCTAATTAAAAGCTTTTAGTCTTTCACGTTGTGCAGGCTGCTAAGTGATATTGTTTAGTCCACAGGGATTCCATTATTACTTGGCTTTACAATATACAATTCTACAAGGGTTTTTTTAACCCACTTTGCCCGGAAGGTTTTGTGTTTTAAAATTTAATCTGATAAGTTTTAAATTGTGAAACAAAAGAAAAATTTTAATTATTTGTTGTAAGATTTTAATTCAGCCCTAAAACTTATTGGCTATTTATAATAGGTAAGTTTCAAGTCAGGTAGTGTGGAGATGTTAAAAATGTTCAAAACTCTATGTAGTACATGTAGGTTTCACTCTGCATACTTGCAAACAGGAGTGAGTAAATAATTTACAAGGCCTAGTACAAAGTGAAAATGCCGGGCCTCTTGTTCAAAAACTATTATGAATTTCAATATGTCGACAACAGAGCATTACATCAATCACAAGGCCTTTCTGACTATGGCATTGTGCAGCCACACAGGTTGCAATGCCCATGGATTCAGCCCTGTTGAGAAGTATGGTGTGTAGAAATGTCACATTATATTAGTATTACCTTTTACATTAAACTGATTCCCCAAATCCCATTATGCTAGACTGCCATAAATTTCACATTTTTTTGAGCTCTCCAGCTTGGTGGCGTAGGGGACTTTCAGACACTGAAGACTTCTGGTCTTCCTGCTACTGAAATGCTCCTCATCTAAGCTCATTGTTCTGCATCTGCTGCTGAAACTACTTTGCTGGACTGGAAACTTGGTACCTAGGGGTCAACCTTTCTAGCCACACCGAGTTTTAATCCATATCAATGTATTTTGAGAATGAAAGGGGGCATACTGACCTAACTGGCCTACAAAAGGACTGTCCAGGACAACTGGGCTGAGTAGTTACCTTCATGTAGCCATTTACTCCGGAAGTTCAGTGGTTCCATCCTTAGCAGAACACATACACCTCCGGGATCCCTGTGGAAGAGTGTGCAAGCCTCCTGTCTGCCACCTGGTATGGACAGCCCTGGCATGCAGAAGACAATAAGTGTTAGTCTGAAATGACTATTATTTTCTCCCTTTCTTCTGTTACTAAAGTGATCAGAGATATTAACAGTTTCTCATTTTGGTTCTTCTAGCTCTTTAGCTTTTCAGAGGGACAGTTAGGTAGTCAGAACTTTTAAATACTGCAAAACTTTTAAACTAATATTACTAAGGAATGGGATATTTCTTAAAGTTTTTTTTTTCACATAACAAATGTATGAACTTAAAAACAAACTAAAAAATATAAAAATATTTTTGAAGAAAATGTTTCTTAAACATATCTATTTCTCTGCCTTCAAAAAGCAAGTTCAGTGCATGTAATAGATTTGTTCCTGGATTATGCAGAGTGGTCATATGAATTAAGGTAGAATAATTAAAACTACATGCTCTGGAGTTACACTGCCTGGGTAGAAGTCTTTGCTTAGCTGTGAGACCTTGAACAAAGTTCTTAAATTCTCCATGTCTCAGTTCCTTTATCTGTAAAATAGAGATACTAACAGTTTCCACATTATAGTGTTGTGGTGAGTATAAATGCCAATATATTTATAAAGTACTATGAACAGTACGCTAGTCAATACATGTGAATAACCACAATAAATTTTATTTTTTTGATGTTATTTTATTGATAAAATAACTCAGAAGCATTTGTGCCATGAGTAAATGCTCCCATTTTTAGCTTCCAAGTCTTCTTTACAATAAAAATGTGTTAGTGTTTCAAATATCAGACCACTGCCTCTCAATGTGTCCATCAATAACACGTTGCTCCTTTCCCCATACCACTTCTAGTTGATTTTCTACTCAGTTATGATTCATTTTCTTAGAGTTATGCCTCAAGTGAACATAGGGTTAGGTACAGAGCAAAACTGAATGACTCTCTTAATAGTAGAGCAGACAAATTTTAATATATGGCCTTTCCAGACATTGATTTGAGCTGATTAATTTTTTAATTCTCTCCAGATACTTGATCAGGCTGTCAATAATTGAGATGGCCAACTAATGGGCTACAAGTTAAGTGAGCATTATAATATTTCACAGGTTTGTTGTGAAGATGAAATAATATATAAATATAACACATGAAAATTTTTGTAGACACTTCAGTGATATATACATTCTGTTTTAATATTTCTGACTCACATGCTAATATTATTAGATACAGTACTTTAAGAAATATAACACCAATTTATATAAAATAGGGATGATTATTCCTTTACTACAACTCCTAAGTCCAGTGTCCAATCTATGAGTTTTCTCTGAGGAGAGGAATACAATTCCCTAGGTAATAGCCTTGCAAAGTGAAGAATGAAGATTGTCTCTGCAGCTGCAGGAAGCAGAGGACTAGCAGCGCCTTGAAAGTTGAGGCACCTTAACTGGTTTCATTTTCTCTTGACTTAAAAAAATAATTTTAAGGTGAAAAAGAATCTCTTAAGAATGTTTTTATGATATAGACTTGGCCTATGTATTCTTGAAAATTTTGTAATGAGTCTTAGGATATTTGTTATTTATTCCATCATCCTGCTTTCTCATGAGATTTAGCATTTGAAAGATTTATTTTTCCCATGTGAACTGACTCTTCTGACCCTCGTTGTTATAATTCAAATATAAATCAAGCGTATCTTGGAAATTACCAAGTCAGAGAAATCCGGGTTATTGGAAATTGTATAAAATATCTTCAGGTTGTTCTCTCTTACACACTCCATTCCCTATTCAGTTTCCTTGATCCAACCTTTCTCTTTCTTTCTTTCTTTCTTTCTTTTTTTTTTTTTTGAGATGGAGTCTCGCTCCTTCGCCCACGCTGGAGTGCAGTGGCGTGATCTCGGCTCACTGCAAGCTCCGCCTCCCAGGTTCACGCCATTCTCCCACCTCAGCCTCCCAAGTAGCTGGGACTACAGGCGCCCGCTACCATGCCCGGCTAAATTTTTGTATTTTTAGTAGAGACGGGGTTTCACCATTTACAGAATGGTCTCGATCTCCTGACCTCGTGATCCACCCGCCTCGGCCTCCCAAAGTGCTGGGATTACAGGCGTGAGCCACCGCGCCCAGCCAAGCTTTCTTTTTCTTAATTTCTTCTTCAACCTTTCTCAAAAATCTTAATTATATGAAGAAAGCCATACATTCTTAATTTTACATTGTGCACATAATTTACAATCTATTCACCACATTTTACATGAGCATAATAAATTCGTCTCTTTAAGATGGTTGCAGAAAACTCAGTCCCCAGCCTGAGAGGAATCCCTCCCTCTTAAGAGTTTGCAAGTCCTCCGACAACAACTTATACAACCCGGTTTTCAATATAAAGTCCTAATCACTCATGTTTCTCATTTAAAGCTTGTAATTATAGTAATTAGGAAAAAATGACTTTATTGTTTCCCTATCATTGCTAATGCTACCTTAACCAAATTTTCTTAGAATAGAAGAAAAATAGAGAATCCTACAATTTACTCTTATGGGAATTTTCACACAAACTTAGTTTCAGGTTCAATAAGATGCAACATTCAGATGGAAACCTTTAGGGAATAGTTAATGGCCCGAATAAATCCCGCTTATTACCACCACTAAATCATCTACTTGCTAGCATAAAACTATCTCAATAACAGTTAAATTAAAAATATAATTGAAGGAAATTTCAGTACAGAGGAACAAACTTGTGAAACTTTCCATTTAAACTCAACCTTCAATAGTCAGCCAAGTCCTTGAGTCTTCAGAGAGCTATTCTTTTAGCAAAAAAGATCATATTCATGATTGTCTACTTGTTAGTACCCATTTGTATCACTTTAGTCCCTTAAAAGAACTTTGTCTTAAACAGTCACTTTCTGTTTTCATGTCAGCCTCGTTTTCTCTTGATAATCGCCTTTTCAAAGTGCTCTCCTGTCCCACAAGCGTCATGACACCATTTGGAGTTCTGAGATAGAGTCCACAGCAATAATGTCAGAGGCGGGGACTCCATGAATACTAGAACATTTTTCCAGAGCCATTCCTCCTCTTATTATTATGTTTACGAATTTGAAATCCAAAAGGTCCTAGAAAATTTTCATTAGCTCACTAAGTGGCCAGTTAAATTAATTGACTTGTTTAAACGTCTGTCTCAGTCAGAGGCAGAGCGGAAACCAGAACCCAGGTCTCTACCACTGTTTTTATTAAGCCACTGTAAGGTTACTGGTTACTAATTTTGTATATGTAATTTCATGAATTTCTATTTTCTTTTCTCATTGTTCCTTCTCTATGCACTTGTTTTTCTTTTTTTTTTTTGTTTTGAGACGGAGTCTCGCTCTGTCGCCCAGGCTGGAGTGCAGTGGCATGATCTCTGCTCGCTGCAAGCTCCGCCTCCCGGGTTCATGCTATTCTCCTGCCTCAGCCTCCGGAGTAGCTGGGACTACAGGCGCCCACCACCATGCCTGGCTAATTTTTTTGTATTTTTAGTAGAGACGGGGTTTCACCATGTTAGCCAGGATGGTCTCGATCTCCTGACCTCATGATCCGCCCGCCTCGGCCTCCCAAACTTCTGGGATTACAGGCGTGAGCCACCGCACCCGGCCTTGTTTTTCTTTAATCCATCAAGACTGATTATTTCTTATTTCATTTACATTCATGTTGCTGGTTTTTGTTTGTTTTTCTCTTTCAAGCCTTTCGGTACTTCCATTTCAAAATATCTAAGTGAATGAGTGAATTGAATGAATAAATAAACTAGAGCAGAATAGCAGAGGTAGTACAGGGTTTAGAAATATTTATGTAATACTTCATCTGCTGGTATCTTCTTCATGGTGCTCAGTTATACATTATGTAAGGGTTAAACTCACTGTTTCTAAACATTTTTAAATTTAAAGCTATTTTCGAGTTGGGCAAAATTACAATTGTCTCCTGTAACAAATTACCACAAAATGAATGGTTTAAAAGAACACAAATTTATTATCCCACAGTTCTATAAGTCAGAAGTCTGGATGGAGTCAGCTTGGTCCTCTACAATGGGTGTCTTTAAGCTGAAATCAAAGTGTTGGTGGCCCTGCACTATTATCTGGAGGCTGTAGGGGAGAACCTGCTTTCATGCTAATTCAGGTTATTGCCAGAATTCAGGTCTGTGCAATTATAAGACTGAGGTCCCTCTTTCCTTACTGAATGTCAGTGGGGAGCCTCCCTTAACTCCTTAAGGCTGCCTACACTCCTTGGCACCTTGGCCCTTCCATGACATTAGATTGAATTCACTCAATAATCCAGGATCATTTCTCCGTATTACAGCCTGTTACCTACTTACATCTAAATCCCTTTTGCCATACAATGTAACATATTCCTATGTTCCAGGGATTAGGATGGGGATATCTTTGATGAACCATTCTGCCTACCACTGCCCCCGAATTTGAGTTCTTATAAGGAATACTCCTCAATCATGTTTAATTTGCATATCATTGAGAATAATTAGTAAGCCTCTGAAAGCATGAAACTTTAAAATTCTTGTCAATAACCTAGAATCTATATTTGGGAAAAATATAATTTTTAAAAAATTTGCATATACTAGGCTTCATTCTTTCTGTGATAAAGTTCTATAGACACATGCGTAATGCCATATATCTATCATTACAGTATCATACAGAATCATTTCACCTGTGTGCTTCACTTATTTCTTCTGCCCTTTTCCTACTCCCATAGTAACCACTGATCTTTTTACTGTCTCTATAATTTTGCATTTTCCAGAATGTCATATAATTGGAATCATACAATATGTAGGCTTTTGATATTGACTTCCTTCACTTAGCAATGTGCACTCGAGGTTTCTCCATATCATTTCATCATTTGATAGTTCATTTATTTTTATTGCTGAATAGTATTCCACTGTATGATGGTATCACAATTTTTTCACCCATTTAAGAGCATCTTTGTTGCTTCTAGTTTTTAGTAATTACGAATAGAGATGCTTTAAGTGTTCATGCACAAATATTTTGTGGACATAATCTTTCAACTCAATTGTGTAAATAACTATGAGCATGATTGTTGGATTGTATAAGACTATGTTTAACTTTGTAAGAAATAGCTAAACTGTCTTCTAAAGTGTTCGTATCAGTTTGCATTCACACAAGCAATACATGAAAGTTTCTGTTGCTCAATGTCTTTACTAGGATTTGGTATTGTCAGTTTTTTGTATTTCAGCTATTCTAAGATATGGATAGTGGTATCTCATTGTTTTAATTTGCATTTTTTTAACGACAAGTGATGTTGAACAACTTTTTATATACTTATTTTTTCATCTACATATCTTCTTTTGTGAGGTTTTTTTGTATATTTGTCCCATTTTTGTTTTTTGTTTGTTTTCTTATTGTAGAGTTTTTTGTTTTGCATATTTTGAATAGAATGCATTTATCAGATAGGTTTACAAATATTTTTGCTTAATCTTTGTCTTGTCTTTTCATTCTCTGAAAAGTGTCTTTTGCAGAGCTGAAGCTTTTAATTTTAGTAAATTCCAACTTATCAATTTTTTCTTTCATGCATTTTACTTTTGGCGTTGTATCTAGAAACTTATCAAGCCCAAGGCCACCTAGATTTCTCCCTTGTTTTCTGTAGAAGTTTTATAGTTTTAATTTTACATTGAGTTAACTTATGTGAAAAGTGTAATGAAGTCTGTGTCTAGATTCTTTTTAGATGGATGTCTAATTCTTTCAGCATCATTTGTTGAAAAGACAGCTCTTTCTCCATTGAGTTTCCTTTGCTCCTTTTGTTAAAGATTAGTTGACTATATTTGTGTGGGTTTGTTTCTGAACTCTGTATTCTGTTCCATTGTTCTATGTGTCTATTCTTTTGCCAATGCTATATTGTCTTGATCATTGTAGCAGTATAGTAAATTTTGAAGAAGGCGTTGTCAATCCTCCAACTTTATTCTTCTTCAGTATTGTGTTGGCCATTATGCACTTTTTTTGCCTTTTCATACGAACTTTATAATCACTTTAGCGATGTCCATGAAATATCTTGCTTGTATGTTGACTAGATTTTGACTTAGATTACAGACTAAGTTAGAAAGAATGAACATCTTAACAATACTGAGTACTTTAATTCATAAACACAGAATATATCTCTATGTAGATTTTCTCTGATTTCATTTGTCAGAGTTTTGTAGTTTTCTGCATATAGATCATAAACATATTTTGTTAATACTTAAGTATTTAACTTTTGATGCTAATGTAAATGATTTTTTAAAAATTTCAAACTCCAATTCATTGTTATATAAAGAAAAACCATTAACTTTGGATATTTGCCTTTTATCCTGTGCTCTTGCTAAAATTACTTATTAATTCTGGGATTTTTTGTTGATTATTTGGGATTTTCTATTAATACACAAACAGTCATGTAATCTTTGAAAAAGGTAGTTTTATTTATTTCTTCCCAATTTGTGTGATTTCTTTCTTTCTCTTATCTTAAAGCACTATGTACTATGTCCAGTATAATATCAAATAAGAGAAGTAAAAGGGAACATGTTCACTTTTTCCCAGTCTGGGAAAACAAAGCATCTAGTTTCTCACAGTTATGATGTCTTTATTAGGTTGTTTTGTAGATATCTTTTATTAAGTGGAGGAAATTTTCCTCAATTCGTCGTTTGCTGAAAATTTTTATCATGTATGGGTATTAGATTTTGTCAAATGCTTTTACTACATCAATTGATATAATCATGTAATTTTTCTTCTTTACCCTGTTGATATGGTGGATTACATTAATTAATTTTCAGATCTTGAACCGGCCATGCATACTTAGCATAAATCTGGAATTGGTCATGGTATAAAATTCCTTTATACTTCATTGAATTCAATTTACTAATATTTTATTGAAGATTTTCACAACTTGGTTCATAATAGATATTGTCTATAATTTTCCTTTTTGTAAAGTCTTTGGTTTGGCCTCAATACTTTTTATTGTGGCAAAATATACACAATATTTATAATTTTAACCATTCTTAAGTGTATGTTTTAATGGCATTAAGTGCATTCACATTGTAGTATAGCTATCACCACTATTGATACCCAACATGTTTTCATCAACCTGAGCAAAAGCTCTGTACCCATTAAACCATAGCATTCCTCTCCCCATCTCCCCATCCTCTGTTAACTTCTGTTCTACTTCCTCTCTCTACAAATTTGCCTTTTCGAAGAACCTCATATTTGTACTTCTGTATATTTTTACATATGCTATTTGTCCTTCTGTGTTTGGCTTATTTCACCCAGCATAATATTTTCAAGGTCCCTCCATGTTGTAGCACATATCAAACATTTTATTTCTTTTTGTGGCTAAATATTTTACTGTACACACATATACCACATTTTGTTTATCCATTCATCTGTTGATGGATATTTCTGTTGTTTTTACCTTTTTGCTGTTGTGAAGTATGCTGCTACGAACATAGCTATAAAAAATTTTGTTGAACTCTCTGCTTTCAATTCTTAGGGATACATATATGTATGTATATATATATATATATATATATATATATATATATATACACCATATTTTATATGGTAGCTCTATTTTTAATTTTTAGGAAAACTTCACACTGTTTTCCATAATGGTTATACCAATTTACATTTCCACCAGTGATGCACAAAGGATCCCTTTTCTTAACATCCTCAGCAACACATTTGTCTTTTTGATAGTAGCCATTTAAATAGGTATAAGATAATATCTCATAGTGGTTTTGATTTGCATTTCCCTGCTGCTTGGTGATGTTTAGTATTTTTCAGTTCATTTTTCAAATGCGTATTGTGTTTTTTTGCTATTTAGTTGTTTGAGTTCCTTATATGTTTTAGATATTAATCCTTTATCAGATGGTTTGCAAATATATTCTTCCATAGGACAAAATTGTAGGTTTTCTCTTAACTTTGTTGCTTTTTTAAAATTAGCTGTGCTGTGCAAAAATATTTTAGTTTTGATGCAATGCCATTTGTCTGTTTTTGCTTTTGTTGTCTGGGCTATTAAGGTTATATTCAAAAAATCATCTCCCAGAGCAATGTCAAGAACCTTTCCCCCTATGTTCTCTTCTGTTAGTTTCATAGTTTCCAATCTTATGTTTAAGTCTTTAATCTATTTTGAGTTGATTTTTTTTCTTTTAGAGATGGAGTCTTGCTATGTCACCCAGGCTGGAGTGCAGAGGCACGATCTCGGCTCACTGCAACCTCTGCCTCCCAGGTTCAAGCAATTCTCCTACCTCAGCCTCCGGAGTAGCTGGAACTACAGGCACGCAACTTCACGCTCAGCTGATTTCTTTTGTATTTTAGTAGACACGGGTTTCACCATGTTTCCCAGGCTGGTCTTGAACTCCTGAGCTCAGGCAATCCACCCACCTCGGCCTCCCAAAGTGCTAGAATTGCAGGCATGAGCCACCACACCCAGCCGAGTTGATTTTTTGTGATATGAGATATGAGATAGGGTTCACTTTTATCTGTCTGTATGTGTCTATCCAGTTATCCCAACACAGTTTTTTGAAGATATTACCCCTTCCTCATTGTGTGTTCTTGGTACATTTGTCAAAAATCAGTTGACTGTAAATATGTAGATGATTTCTGCCTTAATTTCATTATTTACTCAAAAGTCATTCAGGAGCAGGGTGTTCAATTTCCATGTAGTTGTGTGGATTTGAGTAAATTTCTTAGTCTTGAGTCCTAATTTCATTGTACTATGGATCAAGAGTATGTTATGATTTCAGTTTTTTTGTATTTGCTAAGGAGTGTTTTACTTTTGATTATGTGATTGATTTTAGAGTATGTGCTATGTGTTGATGAGAAAAATGTATAGTCTGTTGGTTTTGGGTGAAAGGATCTGTAGATCTCTATCAGGTCCATTTGATCTAGGGCTGAGTTCAGGTCCTGAATATCTTTGGTAATTTTCTGTCTTGATGATCTGTCTAGTATTGTCAGTGGGTTGTTAAAGTTTCCTACCATTATTGTGTGGGAGTCTATGTTTCTTTGTAGGTCTCTAAGAACTTGCTTATAAGTCTGTGTGCTCCTGTACTAGGTTCATATATATTTAAGATATTTAGATTTTCTTGTTGAATTGAACCCTTTACCATTATGTAATGCCCTTCTTTTATTTTTCGGTCTTTGTTTGTTTAAAGTCTGTTTTGTCAGAAACTGGGATTGTGACCGCAGCTTTTTTCTGTTTTCCATTTGCTCGATAGAATTTTCTCCATCCCTTTATTTTGAGCCTACGTGTGTTGATGGTGCTGAGATAACTAGCTAGCCATATGCAGAAAACTGAAACTGGACTTTTCCTTACACTATGTACAAAAATTAGCTCAAGATAAATTAAGGACTTAAATGTAAAACTCAAAACTATAAAAACTCTGGAAAATAACTTAGGCAATATCATTCAGGGCATAGGCACAGGCGACGATTTCATGATGAAAACACCGAAAGCAACTGGAACAAAAGCAAAAATTGACAAATGGGATCTAATTAAACTAAAGACTTTCTACACAGCAAAAGAAACTATCAACAGAATAAACAGACAACCTACAAAATAGAACATTTTTCCAAACTAAGCCTCTGACAAAGGTCTAATGTCCAGTATCTGTAAGAAACTTAAATTTACGAGAAAAAAAAACCATTAAAAGGTGACAAAAGGACATGAACAGACACGTCTCAGAAGAAGACATTTGCACAGCCAGCAAACATATGAAAAAAAGCTCAACATCCCTGTCATTAGATAAATGCAAATCAAAACCACAGTGAGATACCATCTTGGCACCAGTCAGAATGGCTATTATTAAAAAGTCAAAAAAAAAAAAAAGATGCTGGCAAGGTTGTAGAGAACAAGGAACACTTATACACTGTTGGTGGGAATGTAAATTATTTCAACCATTGTGGAAGACGGCGTGGGGATTCCTCAAAGACCTAGAGGCAGAAATACCATTTGATCCTGCAACCTCATTACTGCATATATACCCAAAGGAATATAAATCATTCTATTATAAAGACGCATGCACACTTACATCCATTGCAACACTATTCACAATAGCAAAGACATGGAATTAACCTAAATGCCCATCAATGATAGACTGCATAAGGAAAATGTGATTCATATACACCATGGAGTACGTACTAGGCAATCATAAAAAAAACAAAAAAAAAAAATAAGATTATGTCCTTTGCAGGGACATGGATGGAGCTGGAGGCCATTTTCCTTAGGAAAATAATGCAGGAACAGAAAATCAAATACTGCATGTTCTCAGTTATAAGTGGGAGCTAAATGATGAGAACACATGGACACATAGAGGGGAACAACACACACTCAGGCCTATTGCAGGGTGGAGGGTGGAAAGAAGGAGAGGATTAGGAAAAGTAACTAATGGGTACCAGGTTTAATATGAGTAATGAAAGAATGTGTGCAACAAACTCCCATAAAACACATTTACCTATGTAACAAACCTGCACATGTGCCCCTGAATTTAAAATAAAAGTCAGAAAAAAGAAATTCAATTGACTGTATATATGAGAGTTTATTTCTGACCTCTCTCTTTAATTCTACTGGTATGTATATCTGTTCTTAAACCAATATCAGTTTCTCTTGATTATTGTAGCTTTTTAGTAAGTTTCAAAGTCAGGAAGTGTGAGTTCTTTAAATTTATTCTTCATTTTCGATATTGTTTTGGTTTTTCAGGAACCCTTGCAATTTTATATCAGTTTAAAGATTAGCATTTCCATTTTTGCATGAAAAATCTGTGACAATTTTGATAGGCATTGTTTTAAATCTATAAATTGCTCTGGGTAGTATTGACATCTTAACAACGTCAAACTTTCTTCCATGAGTACAAGATGTCTTTCCACTTTTCAAGATCTTTAATTACTTTTGGTAGGGTTTTATAATTTTGAGTGTATAAGGCTTTTACTTTCTTGATTAAATTTATTTCTATGTATTTAATTATTTTAGTCACATTGTACAAGGTATTTATTCACAATTTCTTTTGGGGGTTGTTTGTAGATAGTGTATATTAAAAACAACTGATTTTTGTGTGTTGATCTTGTATCCTGCAACTTTAAAGAATTTTTTATAAATTAATTGTACAAAATACATAATTATTACTCTAGTAGCTTTATTGTAGATTATTTGAAGTTTTGAATATTTGGGATTAGGTCACTTATAAATATAGTTTTCTTTCTTCCTTTCCAGTTTGGATGCTTTCTATTTCTTTTTTCTTTATTTCTATTTCTAATAGTTCTGTTTAAAACTTACAGTACAATGTTGAACAGCAGTGTTGAAACATTCTTGTCATGTTTCTGATTTTAGGAAGAATGCTTTCAGTCTTTCATCACTGAATATGATGTTAATTGTGGGCTTTTCATAAATACCATTTATAAAATTTGAACTCACAGAAGCAAAGAATAGAGACTGGGACTGGAGGAGGATAGGGAGATGTTCAAAGATTGCAGAGTTTCAGTTAGAATGAACAAGTTTGGAGATCTATGTACAACATGGTGATTATAGTTAATAATAATGCTTTGTATATTTAAACATTGCTAAGATTTGATTAAATGTTCTCACCGCAGACAAACTGATACATACATAAGATGTTGATATCTTAATTGGCTTGATGTAATCATTTTACATTATATATGTCTATCAAATCATCACATTAGATACTATAAATATATACCATTTTTATTTATTAATGTTACCTAAATAAAGCTGGAGGAAAATAAAAAAATACCTTTATTATTTAGAGGAATTTCTCCTAAATTTCTAGTTGTCTAAGAGTTTTTAATCATAAAATGGTGTTGAATTTTATCAAATGCCTTTCTGCATCAAATGAGATGATCATGTATTTTTTTTCTTCATTCTCTTAATGTGATATAATTATATTGATTTACTCTCTTATTTTGAACCACTCTTGCATTTTTGAGATAAATCCCACTTGGTCTTTGTGAATAATTCCTTTAATATGCTGGTGGATTTGACTGACTAATATTGCGTTTAGAAGGTTTACCCGCATACTTATAAGAAATGTTAATCTGTTATTTTCTTTCTTGTAACATCTTTATCTGATTTCGATATTGGAGTAATGTTAGCCTCATATAATGAATTAGGAGGTGTTTTCTTTTTCTTCAACTTTTTGGAAGAGATTGAGAAAGATTGATAGTAATTCTTCTTTAAATGTTCAGTATAATTGACTGGTGAAGCCATCTAATCCAGAACTTTTCTCTGTTGGATAGTGTTTGTTTGCTTATTCAGTCTCTTACTTACTATAAATCTATTGAGATTTTTTTATTTCTCCTTGAGTTAGTTTAGGTAATTTGTATGTTTCCAAGAATGTGTCTTTTTAGGTTATCTAACTTGTTAATATACATTTTTCATAGTATTCATAATTCTTTTTATCTCTGTAAGTTTGGTAGTAATGTTTCCACTTTCCTTCTTAATTTTAGTTTTTTGCATATTCTCTCTTCTGTTCCTTGTCAGTCTAACTTAAGGTTTGTCAATTCTGTTTATATTTTCAAAGAGCCAACTTTTAGTTATATTAATATTTCTCTATTGTTTTTCTATTCTCTTTTTTGTTTATCTTTGCTCTATTCTTTATTATTTTCTTCCTTCTGCTAACTTTGGGTTTGACTTGCTCATTTTTTGCTACTTTTTAAAAATATAAACTTAGATGTAGGCTTGGGGTCTTTCTTCTTTTTTAATATAGGTATTTACAGCTATAAATTCCACTCCTTTTGCTGAGTCCCATAAGCTTTAGTATGTTGTGCTTTGTTTTCATTTGCCTTTATGTATTTTCTAATTTTCTTTGGGGTTTATTCTTTGACCCATTGTTTGTTTAAGAGTGTGTTGTTTCAATCCACATTTTTGTGTGAATTTTTCTGTTTTTCTTTCTGTTATTGATTTCTAACTTCATTCCATTGAGCTCTGAAAAGACACTGTGTAATTTAAATATTTTTAAAATGTACTAAGACTTGTTTTGTGGCCTTATATATGGTCTATCTGGAAAATACTTTACAGGCACTTGAGTAGAATATGTATTCTGTTGTTGGGTGGAATGTTCTGTATATGTTTATTAGGTCTAGTTTTCTTTCTTTCTTTCTTTCTTTTTTCTTTCTTTTTTTTTTCTTTTTTGGTCCTATTGTCATTCAAGTCCTGGATTTACTTTGCTTATCTTTAGTCTGATCTATCCAGTATTGAGTGTAGGGTTGAATTTAAACTTCTTTGAAAAGCTTTGCAGATGATTGTTATGTGAAACCAGGTTTGAGAACAGCTACAATTTTTGAATAATTTGCAAGTGTAGTTAGGGGGAAAAATCCTTCTTATGGAATGATGTTTCTTGTCACTTGATTTTGTCCATAATGGAAAGTTTTCCTATTTAGATGTTGCAGTGACTGATTGGTATATTTATATGATAGTACACTCTTTAGGGATTAACTTTATAAGTGGGTAATATTTTACTAGTATTTATTAAATAGGCAACTGGACTAATTGATGTATATTTTCCTAGAGAAATAGATTCATGAATAAAAAGACAGTAGATACATTTTTAGAATCAAGCAACCTGAGCTGGCAGTCTCAGGGTTATATTATAATTGTTTCAGCATGAGGAGAATGGTATTTTGGCTTTTGGTCTTCCAAAGAAATTGTTTTGTTTTGTTTGTCAACCATTTTTCTGTAATCCCTTATATTTGGGCTTTTTCCTCTTATTTTCTACTAGGTCTGATTCTCATGCCATTGCCTTCTTTGTATGAATTAATATTAATAATATTTTACATATTTTATAACCTTATGACATAAAGTCATAAGAAAAGTATGTTTCAAATTTATAAGATTTCCCATATCTGTACTGACCTGAGTAAGTCATTTAATCTCTCAGTTTATGTCTAATAAACCCAAAATTTTCTTCATGTTAAACATGAATGACTAGGTGTTTTACTTGTCAAAGACTAAGTTCTTATTTTCAAAGATGAAACAAAAGCTATATATTTTTCTTTCACCTGACGAGATTCCTACACAGAGACTGCAGTCATATAAATAAAATTGTAACTAATTGCTGCTCCTGCTACTTTTTGACCCAGGAAAGAAAAACGAGGGTGCCTGGCCTAGGGAAGAGTAAGGATTAGTATTTTCTCTTCTCTAGGCAGAGCATGAACAGAAACTTGCAGCCATTGTCCTAACAGCAGGCAGGTACCCAAAGAGCATTGGGTCAAATTCTGAGAGGAGAGAGATGTAAATTTTATAAGTGGATGTTGGTAGGTGCCATTCATCTAAATGTGGGGATAGGAGTATGTGCCTTCCTACCTCAGGCTGCTCCAGAAAATGTACAAGAGCATTAATTACTGTATGGCATCACCTGATAATTATGACTCTTACTGAGAATGACATTCATCATGACCAATCACTAAATAATCTCTCCAAGTAACCTCACTTAAAATAAATTTCAAGCTTTTAATCTCAACATAGCTTTTAGAACTAAATTCAAACAAAAAAAAGGTGAAAATATGTCCTCCTTATTCTAGCTAATGAATTTTTCTTCAGGAAAAATAATTTCAATTTATTGTTTGGTCACATCAGCCTAGCTGGACTCTCTAAATCAGTATTGCATATCTACAATAGGTTCTCTGGTCTCAGATTTATAAAAGAAATCTTTGCATTCTAAATATATATGGCTATTCCTGAGAATGAGAATGCCTATTCTTCCCCTCATGACTAGCTTATCATTCAAGAGAAGATGTTTGTGTTTCTAAATATTCAGTACAGTTTATTCAATCTGCAATATAAATTGACGAAGATGAAAACTATACATTTGCAATTTAGGAAATATGTTGAATCAGGTAAAAATAAGAGTTCATGTGTAAGTAAGAAAATGTAAATAAAATGTGAATATTTATTTTCTCCATTATTTAGCTCTTAATTCTACTAATATTTAGTAAAAACATTATTTACTTGTATAATCTCCAAATCAGACACCTGAAAAATGAATTTGCTTTTTCTTCTTAAACCACTATAGTTTGGAAAAATAGGATATCTTTTGGGCTTATTTTACATTTTACTTCTAAATCTTAACTTAAGCCTGGAATATTTTATGCATGGAATAAACAATTATGGTCAGAAATATTTCATAATAACTGAGGGCTGGAACAGAGTCATTCCAGGGTGGGACTAGAATGTGCATTTTATAGTGTATTATGAGGTTGAGAGTTCAGGGACAGGGACATGCATGGATTGGAGCAGATCAAATTATTGGCAATCACTAGAAAATAACGCACAGTAAAGTCTGAGGGCAGGAAATAGCAGCAGAAATGAATCTGTTCCCAGGAGAACAGGACCAGTGTTATAGGCACAGTTGCAGATATTTTCTGAAGTCTGAATACATTGAATGAAGTAGTGCTGGAAATGAATGTTGATAGGTCTATCATGATTTGATAGGCACAGGAAATCTTGCAAATTCAAACTTATGAAGATATACATCTACTTTTGCTGAGAGTTTTATACATGGTGCTTTTATATTTAGCTCTTTATTCTATTTTGAGTTAATTTTTATATATGGTTTGAGGACCTAATTTATTCTTTTGCATGTGGATATTTAGTTGCCCAACACCATTTGCTGAAAGACTACTCCTTCTCTGTTGAATGGCAATGGTACCCTTGTCCAAAATCAGTTGATCTTATTGTATGGCCTTATTTCTGGACTTTCAATACTATTCCTTTTGTCTATAAGTCAATTCTTCTGCCAATACCACACTCTCTTTATTACTGTGGTTTTGTAGTAGCTTCTTAAATTGTGACATGTGAGTCTCTCAACTTCATTCTTCTTTTCTAATATTGTTTTAGCTGTTTGGAGCCCCTTGCATTTTCATATGAATTTTAAGATTAACTTCTCTATTTACCAAAAATGGCAGTTAGAATTTTGATAAAGATTGCATTGAATCTGTAGCTCAATCTGGGAGATATTGCCTTCTTAACAATATTCAATCTTTCAATCAATAAACACAAAATGCTTTCCATTTATTTAGATCTTTGAAAATTTATTTGAATAATACTTTATAGTTGTCAGTGTAAAAAGCTTATACTTTTTTGGTTGATGGTAGAATTATTTTATTAATTTCATTTTCAGATTGTTTATTGCTAGAGTATAGAAATTCAATTGCCTTTTGTCTATTGATTTTGTATCCTGCAAATTTGCTGGACTTGTTTATTAGTTCGTGTGTGTGTGTATATATGTGTATTTTTATAGGTTTTTTATATATAATATCATGTCATCTTCATGTAAAAATAATTTCACATTTTTTCCAATATGGATGCCTTTAATTTCTTTTTCTTGTAAAATTTCCCAACTAGAACTTTCAGTACAATGTTGAATAGAAGTGGCGAGAATGGGCATCCTTGTCTTGTCCTTCAACTTAGGGGGAAAGATTTCAGTTTTTCACTATTAAGTTAGTTGTGGGTATTTTTTAAAAAAATAAATGCTCTTTAACGGATTGTGGGAGCTCTCTTCTATTCTTATTTTGTTGTGTGTCCTTGTCATGAAAGGTTGTCAGATTATGTCAAATGTTTTTTCTGTGTCTATTGAGATAATCATGTAATTTTTCCCTTTTATTCCATTAACATGGTATACTACATAGACTGATTTTCATATATTGAGCTAACTTTGTCTTCCTGGGATAATTCAAACTAGGTCATAATGTATCATATTTTTATTTGTTGCTGGATTTGGTTTGCCAGTATTTTGTTGAGAATTTTTGTATCTATATTTCTAAGGGATTTTAATCTGTAGTGATCTTTTCTTATAATATCTTTCGCCTTGGAATTAGGGTCATACTGTCCTCATAATATTCCTATAAAAGTGCTCCTCATCTATTTATCTAATAGAGTTTTTGAAGGATTGGTATTAATTTTTATTTAAACATTTGATAAAATTTATCATTGAAGCTATCTGGTCCTGTACTTTTCTTTGTGGGATTTTTCTTGTTGTTATTACTAGCTATTAAAGAAAAAAAAAATGTACCGGACAAGATGAGCAGACAGACAACAGTTGTTTTTATTCTGATACTAGTGCCAGCATAGAGCAGAGGTCACACAACACATCTGGATACCTGGTTCCTTCAAGACAAAGTGCTGGAAATGTTTTAAGTGCTGGAGAAGGTCAGGGAGATTATAGGCCATCAGTGTTTGCGAATTGGTTTTTCCCAGAGAAAAAGTAAACCTTCTCCTGTCTTTATAACAGAAAGTAGCTTCACAATTTGGAGCAAGGTATCCTACCTACTTCTACCCTCCCCCAGAAACTGGGAGATAGGAACACTTTTTTATTGGATGATTACATTTCAGAGAGATGGTTCCCAGGTCCTTGAGAAAGATATTCCTGAAATGTAAAACTGGCAAGAGGTTGGAAAAAAAATTACGTCTTCAAAGAGCAGATAAATAATTTATAATTACAAGTTTTCTGAATAAAATTTCTAAGAAAAGGAACTTCAGGGGCATATAATGAGAAAGAAGTTTATTTGCAGTTTATTTAAAGTTTAGTGAAGCTGAGGGTAATGTTAAGGCCAACTTGATCATCATTCCAACTCTTTGTTACGAGTCTATTCAGATTTTCTGTTTTCTTTTTTCTTTTTTCTTTTCTTTTGAGACGGAGTCTCGCTCTATCGCCCCAGGCTGGAGTGCAGTGGCGCGACCTCTGCTCGCGCAAGCTCTGCCTCCCGGGTTCACGACATTCTCCTGCCTCAGCCTCCCGAGTAGCTGGGACTACAGGCGCCCACCACCATGCCCGGCTAATTTTTTGTATTTTTAGTAGAGACGGGGTTTCATCATGTTAGTCAGGATGGTCTCGATCTCCTGACCTCATGATCCGCCCGCCTCGGCCTCCCAAAGTGCTGGGATTATAGGTGTGAGCCACCGCGCCCGTCCCAGATTTTCTGTTTTCTTGAGTCAGTTTTGGTAGTTTGTGTCTTTCTATGCATTTTTTTTTTAATTGTAGTGATGTAGTCTTGCTATGTTGCCCAGGCTGGTCTCAAACTCCTGGCCTCAAGCAATCCTCTCAACTCAGCCTTCCAAAGTGCTGGGATTATAGCCATGAGCTACCACATCTGGCCCAAAATTAGCCCATTTCATTTAAATTTTGAGATATAATTGTTCATTGTACTTTCTTATAATTATTTTTATATCTCCAATATCCATATTAATTTCCTTTTATTTTTGATTTTACTAATTTGATTGCAAAATGTATAAAGAGCCCCTACAACCCATAATGAAATGAGAAACAACACACAATAAATGAGCAAGGACTTGAAAAACATGTCATAAAAGGACATATGAATGATCAAACAAGCTTTTTAAGTTTGTGTCCTTAGAGAAATTTAGCCATTTCATTTAAGTTGTCAGATATAATGGCATAAAGTTGTTTATAATATTTTTTATTATCCTTTTAATATTTGTTGAAACTATAGTGATGTGACTTCTCTCATTCCTGATACTGATACTTTGTTTTTTCTCTTTCATGATTCCCAATTAACCTGGCTAGAGCATATCAATTTTTGTAATTATTTAACAGCAGCTTTTGGTTTTGCTGATTTTCTGTGTTGTTATATTTCTATTTAGTCAGTTTCAGCTGTGATTTTTATTATTATTTCCTTCTCTTTACTTTTTATTTAATTTGCTCTTCTTTTTCTCTTTTCTAAAGGAGAAGCTAAAATCAGTACTTGAGATTCATCTTCCTTTCTAATATAGACCTCTCTAAATTCTACTCCAGCTGCATCCCACAAATTTTTATTGCGTTTTTCATTTTTATTCAGTTCAAATACATTCTGATTTCTCTTCTGATTTCTTCTTTGACCTATGAGTTATTTAGAAAAGTGTTATTTCATTTCTGAGCATTTGGGGATTATCCAGATATCCTTCTATTATTGATTTCTAATTAAATTTCATTGTGGTCAGAGAACTCACTTTGTAAACTTGACTCTTTTTAAATTCATTGAGAATTTACCCAGAATGTCTTTCTTGGTAAACATTCTGTGTGCACTTGAAAATATGTTTAATCTTCTATTAAGTGGAGTGTTCTATAAATGTCAATTAGATGTTGTTAGTTGATAGTACTTTTCAAGGGTTGTGTATTCTTACTGATTTTCATCTGCTTTTAAAATCAATTATTGAAGTAGGAGTGCTAAAATATCCATGCATAACTGCAGTTTCTATTTCTTCTTTTTTCTATCAGTTCTTACTTCATATATATTAAAGCTCTGTTGTTTAATAAATGTTTAGAATTGTAGTCTTTTCATGATGAATTTAACCATTTATTATTATAAAATAATCCTCTATTTTTGATAATATTCTTTGGTCTTAAATCTACTTAGCCTGATATGTAACCACTGCAAGTCTACTTAGTCTGACATGTAACCACTGCAAATGTCTTTTGATTAGTGTTTTTGTTGCCTATCTTTCTCCATCCCTTTACTCTTAGCTTATTTGTTTCTTTACACAGGAAATTAGTTTCTCATGGACAGCGTGTAGTTGGGTCTTATTTTACCCAGTTTGAGAAGTTCCAAACTTAAATTGATGTAGTTAGATTATTTACATTTAAAAACAATATTGATATAGTTAGATTTAAATTTATCATCTTATATTTATTCCTGTCTCATCATCCTTGGCTCTTCTTTTCCTTCTTCTCTGCATTCCTTTAGATCAATTGCATTTTGTGATTTCTTTTATTTCCTTTCTTGGTTTATTAGCTGTAAGTGTTTTACTGATTGCTTTAAAGGTTTGTAGTACACATCTTTAACTTATCACAGTCAATTCCAAGTGTTATTTGTTAGGTCTTAAATTTTATTTTATCCTACTTAAAAGCTAATAAATAAAGTATCCTGTTATTGTTTCATAGATGCTGAAAGGAGGTATGAGACGCTGAGGTCAGAGGTGATGGACTATTAACTTATGGCACAGCAGGCAGCATGAGCATCAACATGTTTGTGTTGGTTCCTTTTACCTCCCAGGTCTCACAGGGGCCAGTGGGGTGGACATGAATGCATGCACAGTCAGTGGTTCGCATTATAGGAGAAGAATATTTAACTTGAGGAACACAGTATTTTATAGCAAGCAATAAACAAGACAACCCTTCCTCCCAGAGGAAAACTTTACCTCATTCCTCAACATTGCTTGCCGCAGACACCATAATAACCTGGGAAGAAAGTGATTAGAACTTTGCATTCTTGGCAAAGCCCAAAAATGTGGAAGCATGAAAGATCGATAGAATATCATCTCTACCAATAATATTTTACTGCTTCATCTATGATATAATAACCTTATAACAGTATACAGTATACTTCCATTTCTCCCTTTCTTGATAATGTTACTGTTGCTCTCATACATTTTACATACACTTAGATTTAAAAATATTATAAACCCCATAAAACTTGTTTGTTTAAATAGTCAATTACCTTTTAAAGAAAATTAAGTAATAGTAAAATATTTTTATTTACTCATGTAGTTAGCATTTATGGTGCTCTTTATTCCTTCATGAGGATCCAAGTTTCCTCTGTTATCATTTTCCTTCTGCTTGAAGAACTTTTATTTAGAAACATATTTTATAGTGCAGGTCTGCTGGTGATGAATTATTTCAGCTTTTGTATGTATGTAACATACATTTGAAAGATATTTTTGCTGGGTAAAAAACTCTAGTTTGACAGTTTTTTCTTTAGCTGCTTTAAAGATGTTCTATTTTATTGTAGCCTTTATGATTTCTGATAAAAAACTAATGATATATCTTAATATTTGTTTCTCTGTACCTAATTGATTTCCTTTCTGCCAGATTTTATGATTAGTTTGATCAAATTTGGAAAAATTTCAATCATTATTTAATTTTTAATTTTTAATTTTTGTAGGAACGTATTTATGGGATACATGAGATGTTTGATACAGGCATGCAATGTGAAATAAGGTCATCATGGAGAATGGGATATCTATCCCTTCAAGCATTTATTCTTAGAGTGACACACAATCCAATTACACTCTTTATTTAAAAATGTACAATTAGGTTATTATTGGCTTTAGTTACCCTATTGTGCTATTAAATATTAGGTTTTATTCATCCTTTCTAGCTCTCTTTGGACCCATTAACCATCCCCACCTCCCCCCAAATTCCCCATTACCTTCCCCAGACTCTGGTAACCATCCTTCTACTCTCTATGTCAGTAAGTTTAATTGTTTTGATTTTTAGATCTCACAAATAAGTGAGAACATGCAACGTTTATCTTTCTGTGCCTGGCTTATTTCACTTAACATAATGATCTCCAGTTCCATATATATTGTTGCAAATGACTGGACCTCATTCTTTTTTATGGCTGAATGGTATTTCATTGTGTATATGTATCATATTTTCTTTATCCATTCATTTGTTGGTGGACACTTAGGTTGCTTACAAATCTTAGCTATTGTAAACAATGCTGCAACAAACATAGGAGTGCAGATATCTCTTCAATATACTGATTTCCTTTCTTTGTGTATATACCCAGCTGTTGGATTGCTGGATCATACGGTACCTCTATTTCCAGTTTCTTCAGGAACCTTCAAACTGTTCTCCATAGTGGCTGTACTAATTTACATTTCCATGAACAGTATACAAGGGCTCCCTTGTCTTGACATCCTCACCAGCATTTATTATTGCCTGTCTTTTGGATAAAAGACATTTTTTAACTGGGGTGAGATGGTATCTCATTGTAGTTTTGATTTGCATTTCTCTGATGATCAATGATGTTGAGCACCTTTTCATATACCTGTTTACCACTGGTATATCTTCTTTTGAGAAATGCCCATTCAAATCTTTTGCTTATTTTTTTTTATCAGATTATAAGATTTTTTTCCTATAGAGTTGTTTGAGCTCCTTATATATACTGGTTGTTAATTTGTTGTCAGATGAGTAGTTTGCAAATATTTTTTCTACCATTCTGTGGGTTGTCTCTTCACTTTGTTGATTGTGTCCTTTGCTGTGCAGAAGCTTTTTAACTTGATGTAATCCCATTTGTCCATTTTTGCTTTGGTTGCCTGTCCTTATGGGGTATTACTCAAGAAATTTTTGCTCATACCAATGTCCTGGAGATTTTCCCCAATGTTTTCTAGTAGTAGTTTCATTGTCTGAGGTCTTAGATTTAAGTCTTTAATACATTTTTATTTGATTCTTGTATATTGTGAGAGATAGGGGTCTGGTTTCATTGTTCTGCCCATGGATATCCAGTTTTCCCAGCACCATTTGTCGAAGAGACTGCCTATTCCCCAGTGCATGTTCTTGGCTTCTTTGTTGAAAACCATTTCACTGTAGGTGTGTGGATTTGTTTCTAGGTTCTCTATTCTGTTCCATTGACTGATGTGTCTGTTTCTATGCCAGTACCATGCTGTTTTGTTTACTATAGCTCTGTAGTACAATTTGAAGTAGGTAATGTGATTCCTCCAGTTTTGTTCTTTCTGCTTAGGATAGTCTTGGCTATTCTGGGGCTCTTGTGGTTTCATATAAACTTTGGGATTTTCTTCTTCTATTCATGTAAATAATGTTGTTAGTATTTTGATAGGGATTGCATTGAATCTGTAGATTGCTTTGGGCAATATGGACATTTTAACAATATTGATTCTTCCAATCCATGAACATAGGATACTTTTCCATTTTTTGTTATTCTCTTAAATTTCTTTCATCAATGTTTTATAATTTTCAATATAGAGATTTTTTTAAATTCTTTAGTTAATTCCTGGGTATTTAATTTTATTTGTGGCTATTGTGAATGAGGTTACTTTTAAATTTCTTTTTCAGATTGTTCACTGTTGGCATATAGAAATGCTGCTGATTTTTATTTGTTGGTTTTGTATAGTGCAACTTTACTGAATTTATTTATCAGTTTTAATAGTTTTTTTGGTGGAGTCTTTAGGTTTTTCCAAATATAAGATCATATCATTTACAAGCAAGGATAATTTGCAAATTATCCTTTCCAACCTGGATGCCCTTTATATCTTTATCTTGTCTGATTGCTCTAGCAAAGACTTCTAGTACCATGTTGAATAACAGTGGTGACAGCGGGCATTCTTGTCACATTCCAGATCTTAGAGGAAATACTTTCAGTTTTTCCCCATTTAGTATAGTAGCTGTGGGTCTGTTTTATATGGCTTTTAGTATGTTGAAGTACGTTGCTTCTATCCTCAGGTTTTTTTAGGGTTTTTATCGTGATGGGATGTTGAATTTTATCAAATGCTTTTTCAGCATCAATTGAAATAATCATATGGTTTTTATCCTTCATTCTGTTGATATGATGTATCACGTTGATTGATCTGTACATGTTTAACCATCCTTGCATCTCAGGGATAAATCCCACTTGGTCATGATAAATGATCGTTCTAATGTATTGTTGAATTCAGTTTGGTAGTACCTTGTTGAGGATTTTTACATCAATATTTATCAGAGATATTGGACTATAGTTTTCTTTTTTTGATGTGTCATTATCTGTTTATGGTATCGGGGTAACAACACTGGCGTTGTAGAATGAGTTTGGAAGTATTCCCTCTTCTGTTTTTCAAAATAGTTTGAGTAGGATTGGTATCAGTTTTTCTTTAAATGCTTGGTAGAATTCGGCAGTGAAGCCATCAGATTCTGGTGTTTTCTTTACTCTGCGACTTAATTATAGCTTTAATCTCATTACTTGTTATTGGTCTGTTCAGATTTTGGATTTCATCATGGTTCAATTTTGGTAAGTTGTATGTAACTAGGAATTTGTCCATTTCTTCTAGATTTTCCAATTTATTGGCATATAGTTGCTCATAGTAGCTACTAATGATCCTTTGAATTTCTGCAGTATAAGTTGTAATATCTCCCTTTTCATTTCTGATTTTTTTTATTTGGATCTTCTCTCTTTGTTTTTTAGTTTGACTAAAGTTTGTCAATTTTAATTAGCTTTTCAAAAAACCAACTTTTGGTCTCATTAATCTTTTGTAGTTTTCTTAATTTTAATTTTATTTATTTATGCTCAAATCTTTATTACTTCTTTTCTCCTACTAATTTGGGGTTTGTTTGCTCTTGCTTTTCTAGTTCTTTAAGATACATCATTAAGTTTTTTATTTGATGTTTTTCCTCTTTTTTGATATAGGCGCTTATAGCTATAAACTTTCCTCTTAGTTCTGCTTTTGCTGTATCCCATAGGTTTTGGCATGTTGTGCTTCCATTATGACGTGTTTCAAGAAATTTTTAAATTTTCTTCTTAATTTCTTCATTGACCCACTGGTCATTCAGGAGCATATTGTTGAATTTCCATGTATTTGTATAGTTTCCAAAATTCCTGTTGTTATTAATTTCTAGTTTTATTTAATTGTGATCAGAGAAGATGTTTGATATTATTTCAATTTTTTGAATGCTTTAAGATTTGTTTTGACATCTAACATATAATCTATCTTTAAGAATAGTCCATGTGCTGAGGAAAAGAATGTGTACACTGCAGCACTTGGATGAAATGTTCTGTACATATCTGTTAGATCCATTTGGTCCATAGTAAAGATCAAGTCTGATGTTGCCTTGTTTACTTTCTGTCTGGAAGATCTGTCCAATGCTGAAAGCGGGGTGTTAAAAAAAAAACTTGGATTTGCCCTCTTGAGCCTGTTTTCTCGATGCTGTAGGCATGCTTCGTTGTTTTTAATTCTTGTTTCTTTTGTCTCTTCTTACTGTGTATTTTCAAATAGCCTGCCTTCAAGCTCACTAATTCTTTCTTCTGCTTGATCTGTTCTGCTATTAAGGACTATGATGCATTCTTCAGTGTGCCAATTGCATTTTTCAGCTCCAGAATTTCATCTTCATTCTTTTCAATTGTCTCAATCTACTTGTTAAATTTATCTGATAGACTTCTGAATTTCTTCTCTGTGAATTTCTTTGAGTTTCCTCAACATAGCTCTTTTGAATTCTCTGCCTGAAAGCTCACATATATCTGTCTCTTCAGAATTGGTCCCTGGTGCCTATTTAGTTCATTTGGTGAGGTCATGTTTTCCTGTATGATATTGATGCTAGTAGATTTTTTTTAGTGTTTGGGTATTTAAGAGTTAGGTATTCATTGTAATATTCATTGCCTGGACTTATTTTTACCCATACTTCTTGGGAAAGCTTTCCAGATATATGAAAGTACTTGGGTGCTGTCCTCTAAGCCCCAAGCTCAGGAACACTGTGGTTCTTGTAGACTCATAGAGGCACTGCCTCATTATCTAGAACAAGACTTGGGAGAATTCTCTGAATTACCAGACAGAGACTCTTGTTCTCTTCCCTTACTTTCTCCCAAACATACACAGTCTCTCTCTGTGTTCTGAGCCACCTAAACCTGGAGATGGAATGAAACCTGGAGATGTGGCCACTACCACTGTGACTGTGCTGGGTCAGACTTGAAGCCAGCACAGTGCTGGGTCTCACCCAAGGCCTGCTGTAACCACTCCCTGGCTACTACTTGTGTTCATTCATGGCCCTCAGGCTCTACAATCAGCAGGTGGCAAAGCCAGTCAGGCCTGTGTCCTTCTCTTCAGGGCACTGAGGTTCCTCAGACCCATGTGGGTCTAGAAGTGTAGTCCAGGAGTCAGGGACTAGAGTCAAAACCCGTAGAAGTTGGCTTGATGTTCTGTTGTATTGAGGCTAAGCTGGCAGTCAAACCACAAGATGCAGTCCTTCCCACTATTCCTTCCCCTTTCAAAAGGCAGAGGAGCCCCTGCCACCCCAGGCCATGAGGAGTACTACCAGACCACCTCCGATGTTCCCTTAAGGCCCAACGTCTCTCTTTTTTTTTTTTTTTTTTTTTTTTTGAGACGGAGTCTTGCTCTGTCGCCCAGGCTGGAGTGCGGTGGCGCGATCTCGGCTCACTGCAAGCTCCGCCTCCCAGGTTCATGCCATTCTCCTGCCTCAGCCTCCCTAGTAGCTGGGACTACAGGCGCCCACCACCACGCCCGGCTAATGTTTTGTATTTTTAGTAGAGACAGAGTTTCACCGTGTTAGCCAGGATGGTCTCGATCTCCTGATCTCGTGATCCGCCCGCCTCGGCCTCCCAAAGTGCTGGTATTACAGGCGTGAACCACTGCACCTAGCCTGGCCCAACATCCCTTAAGTCAGCTTGTTGTGAGTGCTGCCTGGCCTGGGACTCACCCTTCAGGGCGGTGGGCTCCCCTCTGGCCCACAGCAGGTCCAGACACGCCATCCAAGAGGCAAATCCTAGAATTGGGAACCCCAAGAACCCTCTCGGTGCCCTGCCTCCCTGTGGCCATGCTGGTACCTGAGATACAAGACAAAGTCCCTTTTACTTTCCCCCCTGCTTTTCTCAAGAGGAAGTTTTGCCCAGCAGCCACCATAGCTGAGAATGTGCTGAGTCTCACCTGAAGCCAGCAATTCTCAGAGGCTCACCCAAGGCCCTATACATAGTACCTGGGTATTGCTGCTGGTTATTCAGAGTCCAAGGGCTCTTCATGTAGCAAGTAATAAATGCTGCCAGGATTGAGTCCTTCCCTTCAAGGCAGCGGGTTCCTTCTGGCCCAGGGTGTGTCCAGAAATGTCATCTGGGAGCTAGGGCCTGGTAAAGGGCCTCATGACTCTGACTGGTGCCCTATCCTGCTGTGGCTGAGCTGGTATCATAGATGCAAGACAAAGTCCTCCACACTCTTCACCTTCCTCTTTTCAAGTGGAAGAAAGGGGTCTCTTTCGGAGCTGTGAGCTGTGCAGCCTGGGGTTAGGGGAGTGGTGATGCTAGCACTTCTTTGGCTGCCCCAGCTGGTGTCTTAGTCTGTTGTGTACCTCCCCAGTCCACTGTCTCTGGCCCTAGTTCAGCACTAGGACATAAGAATTGCAATCCTTACAGCCTAGACTGCCTTTCAAGTTTACTTGGAGACACAGAGCCATTGTAGCTCTTGGTGCCAAGGCTTGCAGGCACTCAAGTTCGGAGTGCTAGGATCCACGATTCCCCTCTGGCTAGGGCTGGTTTAAATGTTCCCTCAATAGGCAGGTGTCAGTTGCGTTTGGTCTGGTTTTCCTTTCTGCTCCAGCAAGACAGCACTGAGTTCAATGCCTCACAAGTGCTGTGTTCTTTCTTCCCCCAGTGCTCAGAGACACTGTACTGTTACCACTACCAGGGTTGAGGAGGAGTGGCATCTACCACTCAGGACTGTTTTTTCTCTCTTCAATGGCTCTTTCAGCGATATGAAGTTAAAAACAGGTAATATGAGTACTCCCTGGAGTTTTGGTTCTTATTATGGTGTTTTTTCTGTTTAAATAGTTGTTAACTTAGTGTCCTTGCAGAGGGGGAGTGGGGACAATTGGTGGATCTTTCTATTCTGCCATGTTGCTCCATTTCCTCCCTCAGCCATTATTTCTTAAAATACTCTTTCTGGCCTCACCCTCTTGGACATTCAACTACAGGTACATTGGACTGTTTTAGGTTGTTCCACCGCGTAAGTCTTGTCAATTTGGGAGGGTGGGGGTTCTGTATATTTTATTTTGGATAGTTGCTATTTGTATGTCTCTGTATTTGGTTTTAAAAGTTTTATTTTAAAGACAGGGTCTCGCTCTGTTGCCCAGGCTGGTCTCAAACTCCTGGCTTCAAGCGTTTCTCTTGCCTCAGCCTCCCAAAGCACTGGGATTATAGGTATGAGCCACTGTGCCCTGCCTCTATTGCTGTTTTAGAATTAATTAATCTTCTGTCTTACAGCATGCAATCTGCCTTTAATCTGACCAAGTGTATTTTTAATCTTGAACATTGTATGATTTATCTTTAGGAATTTGGCTTGGGTCTTTTTACATTATCCATGCATATTCAACCTTTGCCCTAGCTTCTTGAACATGTGAATTCAGTTACAAATAACTTTTAATGTCCTTATCTACTAGTTTTATAATCTGTGTCATTTCTCTGTCAGTTTTTATTTTTCTTCTCATTATTGGCTATATTTTTCAGCTGCTTTGCATCCCTGATAATTTTTATCTGGGTGGCAGACTTTGAGATTTGTTCTGGGAAGCAGATAAATTACTTTGGAATAGCTTAATCCTCTTAGGTTATGCTCTTAAGATATGTTAGGCAGGACCAGAGCAGCAGTAGTTAGTCTATGATTAATTTAACCCTGCTACTGGGGCAAGACCTTTCTTTAATTGATGCCCTGTGAATTATAAGATTTTCCACTTTAGCACCTGGGAAGAGTCCATTATTCTCTGCTCTGCATGAGTCTAAAGCACTATTCTTTGTAATCTGTTTATGTGGTTTTCCACCTTGATTTGGATAGTTTGCTTACTTTCACGCATGCACTGATCATAAACTAAATTTTCAAGGGGGAACCTCTGCAGGTCTCTGGGGTTTCCGTATAGGTCTCTCCTCTATCTTACTCCTCACTTCAAACTCTAGACACCTTGGTATCCAAGGACTCCAAGCTCTATCTTCCTGACTCAGGGAGACTGCTGTGCTATGACTGAGTTTTCCCTCTCTGCAGTGTGACCTGGAAACTTTGTCTTGGCAGTCAACTAGGCCAATCATAGAGCTCAGGACAATGTCTTGCCTGTTATTGTTCAATAACTCTGTCCTGTTTTGTTGTTGTTGTTGTTTTCAGAAATAGGGTAAATCTGGTCTCTGTTTCTCTCAGAGCTGAAGTTGACAAATTTTTAATGACTGATGTAATGTTGTTACTGTAGCTTCATTCATGTTTTCTCTTTCATTTTGACTCACGTTTAGTAAGTTATTTTTCTAGAAAACCATTTTGTTTAAAATTTTACTCTTGTTAGTATAAGGTCATTAGTAATATTCTTTTATCATGTTTAAAATTTCTGCTTTATCTGTAGTTATGATTATTTTATCATTGCAAATATTATTTTTCTTGATAATTCTTGTCATAAATGTGTCTACTCTCTTAGACTTTTCAAAGATCCATAATTTAAATTAATTGATTCTATCTTATCTTTGCTTTCTATTTAATAATGTTTAATATTACACCTAATAATGTTTAGTATTATGCTTATTTCATTCTTTCTACTTTCTACTTTGAATTTAATCTATTGCTATTTTCTAATTTCATAAGTATAACCTTTAACTCATGATTTTTATTCTAACTTTTTTTCTCTAAGCAGTTAAGGTTGTAGGTAACCCACTAAGTAACACTTAACCAGCATATCATAAGTTTTGTCATATTGTAAGCTTATTAGTATTATTTTCCAAGTATTTTCTAATCTTCAGTACAATTTCTTTTTTTTCCTTTTGCTCATCAATTATTTAGGAGTGCTATTATTTTTAAATTTCCAATATCTTTTTCATCTGATACTTGCTATTCACTTGTTTCTCTAAGTTTATTCCTCTGATGAAAGTCTTTTCCCTCTACAGAATTAGATATTGAACTATTATGCTATCATTTGTTTCCAGGTCATCTCTGTAGTTTCTCCAGTTTAAACAGTTTTTCACAGTTGTTAAGACCTATGTTCATGTACAAACACGTTCTTATCATCCCCTGGGCCTCAGTGCTTGATTTCCCCTCTTCACTCCCCAAGCTATTATGATTACTGGTTTCCAACCTCTGGTCATGTGCCATTTCATGCTCTTTCTAGACATTTGAGTATGAGGGGAAATTTTTCCTCTATATTCTCCAATGAGCATAGGTTATTTTCTTATATCCCAGTCTAACTCATCTTCTTCCCTATGAAATAGTCCTATGATTTTCTACCAATGGATTGGAGGCTGGCTTGCCTTGATCAGCTATTATCATTTTTCCAGAAGTTTTCCAGCTCTCTGGGTTTTCTTTCTTTGAGGTCTTCTCACCTTTACTTTGGCCTCACAGTGTTGCTTATTCCAGCCTGGTAGAATGAAAAGCAGTAGTGACTCTCCTAACCTTTCCTTTGCATTAGCCAATTATTAAGTGGGATACTGAACACTGATTTCAGTGTTGTCTTGACTCCTTTGTCTATCTCCAAAGCAATTAAGATTTATCTTTATAGTGTACTAAAAAAATTATATACTGGATTCTTTGTCTCCTTTATTCACACATACATTTCTTCATTATATTTAACAGAATTCAGCTACAGCTCTCTATTTAAGAGATTACCTTGCAAATAATGAAGAGCTAGTCCTTGATTTCTTCACTCCAGCTAGTTGTAGTAATTTTGCTGCAAACAGCTCTTCACTCCTGATTAGAGACCATATGCTGAGAATTAGCTCATGGAATAAAGCCCTTGACTCTTCCTTTAGTTAAGTACCAATCTATTGGGTTTTCCCCTGGACTCCCTCACCTGTAGAGGAGATATTGACTTGTCTCATGTCCTGTGTTTATGTTACCCAAGGCTCTTCCTTGGCAAGAGAACTGAGGCAAACTCTGTGTCATAATTCCTTCAGGGATGTATTCTACCCCAAATCCTGCTGAACTCCTTCAGGGGAATAGTTTAATGACCTATAAATAAAGCAACAGGAAAGGACATTTGAATCTTTGTTGCTGAGACTTACTGTGTGATAAAACAGGGAAACTCGTATTGCCACCCACCATTTCCACTTGCCATATAACATTTGATTCCAGTATTCAGGTTAATGAGTAGATTATGGTCATCCATTTGCATTTTCCTTGTCAGTGATACTATTTTTAGCCCAGCGACCCAAACTTGTAGTAGGATACATGCTTTCCCTTTCAGTCAGATGGGCTTACAGATGACCTTTATTTATTTTTCTTTGTCTTGATATACTTCAGTCTCTACAGCCACAAAGCCAGCACTTGGGTGAATAAGAAATTGTGTAGCATGGTCAGCAGAGGCAAGACAAGGCTCACACTGGACCATGTATCAGGCCCTGAAGGTTTGCTCACCGTGTCTACACTGAGCTCTGGGAAAACATGAAAGCCTGGTGGTCAATTGGGCTTGGAATCGAGTTGTCTTTTGATTTTCTTGGCCTTCCCCAGTTGTATATTTATAAAAGAGAATTAGATCCTTGAGCAGTTTAGTAATTTAGGAACAGTTCTTCAAAAAACTATCATGACCTTTGAACCTCCTCTGATGAGTTTCATTTCTCTACAATTGGTACGGCATTGTCAACTGGTGTTTTCTGGTAACTTTCTGGTACTGGTGCTCACTCTGTGCCCATCATATTTGAAAAAGAATAGGAAGAAATAGGAGCCAGTAATTCCAAATTGGTCCTCCTCAAACTGTTCAGTAGTTTAAGAAGTGGTTATTCATGTCTTTTCCAAGCCCTGCAGAAAATAATTATTTCATCTAATTAAACCGACACTCTGGCTAATTGGTGTCCCTAATTGCCTTTTTTGTTAATCAACGAAAAGTGGCAGTTGTCCCTGAAATATCTTGAACTTTGTTGCAAATTGATAGAATACCACAGAGATAAGACAAAAGTTATTTGCTCTCATAAACCATGGATATTTCCTTAAGTGTTTTTGTAGTGGAAAGGAAGGGAGTGGAAGGTTTTTGAAGATAAAAGGAAAGGGTGGAGGGAGAGAGAGATAATGAGAATGAGGGAGATAGAGGGACTGGATTTCAAGAAAGTAGGGAAGAGGAAAAAATAGGAAATTCCCGAGATTAGTAAATCTTCACTCCCCTAGAGTGAAGCACAGAGGGAATAATACCTAAGAAACCTGCATAGCGATTCTGAGTCATCTGGGCCCTAGTCACATGGCCTCAGTGCTTCGACAAATATTTCCATGCTCTCCTGTGACAAATGAGCAGCTAAGCTGCCAGATCAGAATGGGCCGTGTGCTCTGGGACAGCAGAATTTCAGTGATGCGCCTGCAGCACTGACTGTAGAGAACTCTGGAAAGCCCTGGTGCTACATATGTCCCTGGAAACTTTGCATATCCCTGGGGATCTGGAGGAAGGAGAGGGAAGAAGATAAAAGAAGAATGGAGATATCAATAAAATAGTAGGCAATATAAAGAAAAAAAGAAACTTTAGTTTTTGCTTACTTGATATTTTCATCAAGACTAATATCTGCTAAAGAGGGATCAACTTTGTATACTAGAAAAAAATTCACAGAAGCTTAACACCAGTATCTTTATAAATTAGGTTTACTTGATTATTGGTAAGCAGCAGGTGAATTGCCAATTCCTAATATTTATGTATTTCTCACTGACTGGTAATCTAGTTAGCTCTGACTGTCAGTGATGACAGAAATAAGTTCTTGTTTTGTCTATTACATTCACATTTTATTAAGATGTCTCCATCCTAAGTCACAGTTTCTGGGATCAATGTGGCAGTATCTATTAAAGTTGAAAATGCAAACATTCATAAACCAACAATTCTGCTTCTATGCATATATTCTAGAGAAACACTTGCATATGTGCAAAGGACACAGATACAAGTATACTCAAGGCAGTACTATTAGCAAGAGCAAAAATCTGGGGAAAGTTTTTCTATCTATCAATAAGAAAATGATTAAACAAATTGTATATTTACAAAATGACATGTATAGCAATTAAGGTGAATGAACCAGATCATTACATACCAATATGGACTGATCTCAAAAGCATTATATTGAGACGAAGAAACAAGTTACATAGTGATATAACTTATTTAAACTTTTAAAATGCACAAAAAAATACTGGCGTTGTTTTTGCATTATTGAATATGTAAAAAGTATTTAAAATAAGAAATTCCGAAGGATAAGATATAGAACAATTCTATCACGAAAGAGAAGAAAATGCAACTATAGATTGGATACTAAGGGATCTTCAATTGTTTCAGAAATGTTTTGTTAAATTAAAATTAAAAATATTTGTGGTGCCAGGTGCAGAGGCTCATGTATGTAATCCCAGCACTTTGGGAGGCCAAGGCAGGCAGATTTCTTGAGCTCAGGAGTTCTAGACCAGCCTGGCTAACACAGAGAAACCCTGTATGTACTCAAAGTACAAAAAAATTAGCCAGGTGTGGTGGCTCATGCCTGTAATCCCAGCTACTGAGGTTACTGAGACAGGAGAATAGCTTGAACCCGAGAGGCAGAAGTCACAGTGAGTCGAGATCACACCACTGGACTCCAGCTTGGGTGACAGAGCAAGGCTCCATCTCTAAAAACAAACAAAAAAAAATTGTGGCAAATGAAATGTCAACATTTGTTATTTTTTATTATTTCTGGATAGTGTTAAACATTGGTGTTTGTTATAATATTCCCTGCCCTTTAGTTTAAAATTTTATGTTTTTTTATTTTTATGTATTTTATTTTATTATTATTATACTTTAAGTTTTAGGGTACATGTGCACAATGCTGCACAGCAAAATAAACTACCATCAGAGTGAACAGGCAACCTACAAAATGGGAGAAAATTTTCGCAAACTGCTCATCTGACAAAGGGCTAATATCCAGAATCTACAATGAACTCAAACAAATTTACAAGAAAAAAACAAACAACCCCATCAAAAAGTGGGCAAAGGATATGAACAGACACTTCTCAAAAGAAGACATTTATGCAGCCAAAAGACACGTGAAAAAATGCTTATCATCACTGGTCATCAGAGAAATGCAAATCAAAACCACAATGAGATACCATCTCACACCAGTTAGAATGGTGATCATTAAAAAGTCAGGAAACAACAGGTGCTGGAGAGGATGTGAAGACTTTTTTAAAAAAGTGATTTATCCTCCCCATTCTCCTATACCAATTCTGTACAAGATTTCTAGTCATTCTTTAAATCTTTCATTCTTTTATTGAATATATATTGAGCATCTTCTATGCATTATGATTCAGGAGGCTTAAAACCTCCTTTGCTAAATATACATGTAGACAAATAACATGAGATACAATCACTTAAATGCTCCAGCAGAAGAGGCTGACTCCACGCTGTGTGTGTGGTGAGGAGGTGTCAAAGGGTAGATTTAATATCACTGGGTATTCAGGAAGGCTTCTGAGAGGTGGAGAGCCTTCTCATTTGTGTCACATGTGTGTGTAGGATTTAGTGACATCCCATTTGCCGTCAGGTTAGGTATTCTAGGAAAAAAAACCAGGGACCAGAGATACGAAACTGCATAGTGCACTCAGAAAACAATAAGACATTATGCCTAGAATCAGCAGAGGAGACAATTTCTAGGACAGGATGTTAATGTCAAATGTTTTATGACTTTAAGATGGATGATATCTCAGCTTATGATCTCCAAGGAAGCAGCTTCAGTCTACTGATGAGAGAAGAAGCCAGGCTACAAGATGCTGATAAAAGGAGACCTACTTCTTGTTATAGAAGTATGATGGTAAAGAGAAGGAAAGATGGAATAGTAGCTTTAGGAGTAAGAAAATTGATTCACAAATGTATCTGAAGTTTATTTTCAGATCTGTTACATAATATATGACTTTCAAATATATAACATACAGACTATCAGGCTTATAATAAGAATGGTTATTTGAGAGCTTTTAATGAAGGAAAGTATGACAGAGTTCTGACTTTTAGCAAAGGCAAAACATCTACGAACTATCTTGTTATGAATTATACCGTTCATTTCATTTATCACTTATACCCTAATACTATACTGAAAGAAGCTTTCATAAGCAATTCTATAAGAGTGAAGTTCCATGGTTTGTAGAACAAAAAACACAGGATTTTTAGACAAGGGTATCTTTTTGTTTTTCTCCCTGAATGTGGTTTCCACAGCTTGAGGAAGAGGAGTCATGTTTTAGTTAACTCTTTTGGGAAGACAAAAAGGGGTGTTAATGAGAATTTTGTCTATAAAGGCCTTATAATACATAATAGGAATAAACAAAAGACTGGCAGTCCAAGGAAAGTACTGATTCAATTGCATGTTGTGGAGGAGTGCTTGGGTACTTCTGAGATGGCCAGAAATAGAACTGTTCCTCAAACTTTCTAGGCAGACCAGGTGCTACCCAATACAGGGACTAGGTTTTTCTCTGTGCACAGCTGGCTGTGGGAGGAAGAGTTGCATCCACCCAAGCTGTGAATTGAAAGCCAATTTCTTTGAAATTGTCTTAATTTGAATGTATTCTCTTCCTCCTTTCATTCACCAGGTAGCCCTGAGCACTGGATGTTTGTCAGTTTCTTGAACTACTGAGGGCAACAAGGACCTACCTGACCCATCCTCACATTTATAGTATTTTACATTTTATGAAACACATTCACTTAAGCCTGGCACAGGTATTCCAGTCTGTTTTACATGGGACACAAAGACTAAAAAGGGTTGAATAAGTTATCTTAACTGCTGAGAGATAGTGGGAGAACTCAGCCCTTAGGGAAGGTTTTCCTGCTTTATTCTTTCAATTTGGAAGTGCCAATGAGAATTATTTGGGTCCCTCCACCACACTCCCTTTTAGTCCTTTTACCCAGGAAAAAAGAACATACCATTCTTGTCAAAGTTGGGAGCACCCCTTGGTTTTATACAAATGGTAAGGTTTCTATGGCCCATGGGCAGAAAAAAAAGCTGTCCATTTTCCTCTTGGACTTCTAGTTTCTCACAAGATGTATTCTTTCTTTGTCTCTTGTCATAAATGCATCTTGGTGAGTGGAGCAGGCTAGTCATTTCCACCTCCCACTGCAAAGGCTGTGTGTGTGTGTGACAGTTAAAGGCGTGGGCTGTAGAGTTTATAGCATCTGTATGATTCAACTTTGAATTATAGTTCAGATCCCAAATTTTCACTTACTCTTCTGAAGTTCTTCTGTTCATGTTTTCTAAATTGTTATGTAGGCTGGTGGCGGTGGCTCACACTTGTAATCCCAGTGCTTTGGAAGGCTGAAGCGGGAGGATCACCTGAGCCCAGGAATTGAGACCAGGCTGGGCAACATAGCAAGACTTATCTCTATAAAAAACAAAAATTTAGATGGGCATGGTGGCACACCTATAGTCTCAGCTACTCAGGAGGCTGAAGAGGGAGGTGTTTGAGCCCAGGAGTTTGAGTCTGCAGTAAGCTATGATCGCACCACTGCACTCCAGCCTGGGCAAGAATGAGACCCTGTTTCTAAAATATAAATAAATAAATAAATAAATAAATAAAAATAGTTATGTGTAAAAACCCAGATAGGAGCTACCACACACTCTGCAGTAGTCTTCACAGTGCTGTGCTCCCTGGGGTGTACAAAGGCATTCACCAGAGCAAAGAAAATATAATTAGAGCTTCTCTTTATATTACTTTTTATATAAAATATTAAGCTTTTCTCTTAATCAATATATGGATCAACACTGGTTCCTGCACTCACTGGCATCGTAGACAGCAAGCCAGGCCCTTGAGACATTCTGAAGGAAAAATGGAAGTTTCTCAAAGTGGAGGTGTTGACAATGCTGGTCTTACTCATTTGATTTTAGTGTCTTGTAACAAAGGTATAGCTTACATGCCATTGATTGCCACCAAGGTAATTATTTTTATAAATAGAAGACCAAGAAATTTTTCTTTTTTAAATACTTTGTAATGAGAAGTGAAGTAACATTGAAATTTCACACAGAGGTTTGCCATTTATCTTTTGACAAAATATTAAAAACAGTTGTTAAAATTTAAGTTAAATATTTCTATTTTATAAAAAGATACATATTTTAAGTTTGCTAAATTTTTATGAAGGAAATGACTTCCAGCAGTATGCTATCTGAAATATATATATATTTATATGTATGTGTATATATATATACACACACATACATTAAATATCTCTCTCAAAGAAGGGTGAAATTTAAAACATAAGTGAGAAAGTAAAAGGTAATTTTTAAAAAATCTCTCTATTCAGAGAGCATTTCAGAAATGGATATTTAGAAGTTTTCATTGCTTTGTAATTTTATTGCTGAAAGTTTATTGCTTTGTCATTTATTGCTGAAAATAATGTCACATATAAAATCTCTTGTATCTACAAAATTGGATGTACTTACAAAATTGAAAAACTAAATTTTCTCACCTGTTTAAAAATCTTCCAAATGATTTTGTTCAGTGAGTTTGAACCCATTAGTTTAAAAAAAATCAGAAAATTATCACATTCCAATTTGTTTGTTAAGGGCAACTGATTAATAGCAGAGAAGATGAAAATTTACTATCTGAATTTCAGCAGAAATTTTTGTGTAATTGGTAGATGAGATTGAAAAATAAGTTTCATGATTTAGTAAACATAGCTAGTATATACTTCTGTTTGAAACTATGTATGTTTTTGAGCTAGCCTTTCTTTTTTGGTTGTTGTTGTTCTTGTTGTTTGTTTTGAGACGGAGTTTTGCTCTTGTCGCCCAGGCTGGAGTGCAGTGGTGGAATCTCGGCTCACTGCAACCTCTGCCTCCTGATTTCAAGTGATTCGCCTGCCTCAGCCTCCCAAGTAATTGGGATTACAGGTGCCCACCACCACGCCTGGCTAATTTTTGTAGTTTTAGTAGAGATGGGGTTTCACCATGTTGGCCAGGCTGGTCTGGAACTCCTGACCTCATGATCCACCCGCCTTGGCCTCCCAAAGTGCTGGGATTACAAGCATGAGCCACCTCGCCCGGCCGAGCTAGCCTTTCAACTATGACAGCAAGTAAAATCAAATATTGAAATAAACTGGACTTAAAACCAGACCTTCAAATATCTGAATCACAAAATTTAAGCCAAAATCTCACAAAATAAGACATTATCTACTACATTTACTATAAACAATATTGTGGAAGGAGTCAAAAGAGTTTGTCCTATTAATTTAAAAAGAATATTTAAAGTTATGGTGAATTTAGTCCTTATGTCATGCTTTTAAACGTGTTCTGTAATGTAACAAACACTTAAAATTCTGATTACTTTAGTAGTGTGTTATGAAGAAGTAAATACACATGTATTGAAGTTGCATGGCTCAAAACCCTTTTACTGTTGGGTAAACCAAACAGAAAGCTTCCTCTGTTCTCCTAGAAAAGACTGTATGCAGACTCTGGTTACATTGGGGATGTGTTCCTGGAAGTGGTAATTCAAATGAGATAATTTCTGTACAGTATTATTATTGTGTAGCCCTGTTGAGTCTTGCTTCCAGATACCAGTTAGTACTTGTAACTCTTCCAGATACAAAGAGTTAGTAATCACCCTTTCTTCTCCTTAAATCCCTGACGTTGTGATGCACTTCCAACTATTTTTTCTTCCAGCTACTAGCCATACATTTGTGGGTGGTTACTCCCAATTACAATAATTGTACAAGGCCATTAGTAATGTTAGACTTCCTCCAATACCTATGTGGCTGTTGATCTTCACTACATGTTTCTTTGACCATGATCTTGATGGTGCCTCAAACTACTCTAAAATTTGCACCTTAAGTGTACTATCATAATCCTCTCTTGTGTCTTAACAGCAGTTTTAGCAGTATTACTTGTCCACCTTTTAATAACCGTATTAAATCAAAAAATTGTTTGCCAATAAAAGAAAGAAAAGACAGCAACAGGGATACCAGCAGAGAAACAACGTAGGTTATAGAACTCACTCTGTGTAGGATAGACCATAGAGAGTTCACTGGCTAAGTCCATAGTTCAAGAGAGCACGAACAATCTGCCACTCTATTTTTCACTGACTATAAAAACCCTTTTTATTAACATGTATTCAAAATTAGAAAAGTCAATTGAACTGATCCAGCCTGCCACTGAATTGCACTCTTCATACAAAATCCCTTTGACTAAGCTTTACTTCCTGTCCACCCAGAGCAGGGGACAATCCTTCTTACAATCAGCAGAATAACTCTAGGTTTAGACGCCTCAACTAATCTGTAAGTTTTTTTAGAGTAGGCAGCCATCTTACAGGTCACAGTTTTTCTTTTTTTTTTTTTAATGCATCCCCTACAGTCATAGCTAGAGAGGTTAATTGTATAATAGAGCTTTAAGAGATATTTGTTAAACTGTGTGCTGGAGTGGCTGGTGGAATGAAACAATGAAGCTTGTAAAGTAGATCACAAATATTGACTCCCAAGTAATGTTATTTTTGGTTTTGAACATGAATGTATCTCACACTTCCATGACACATACGTTTTAAGAATACATATTGAATTGTTCTGTGAAAACATAATTCAAATGGACTTGGAAAAAAAAAAAGCTACCTCCATTTCTTACCGTCAGTGCTTTCAAGAGGATTTACCCTCTCTCATTTCCTCTCAGTGCTGAGGAAAAGAGTTCTCTAAAGCTGAAGCTAGTGTAATTTGAGCAACGCTATCTAAACTCTGTCTGATTTACTGATTTCTCTGGGAGGAAAGACATTGAGATCTGTCCCTCCTCTTTTTTCCCTACTGCTTCTCCTCACTTTTTTATTAGAGCTTGAATACTTTTGAGAATTTCTGAAAGATTGCTTTCCTTCCCTTTCAGCTCCTGCCGAAATGCATAAAGCAACTAAATAAACATCCACTGAAGAAGTCAACAGTGGTTATAAAATATAGACTCCAAAGTCTATATTTATATGAAATTGGAGTACCCCAGAAAATTTAGTTAGAAGTCATAATAACTGATGCTCTGGACAACATCTTTTTTCTCAGTTCCCCCTGGTTACCTTTTGGTTTTAAGCACTAGGTCGAGAGGGTTGCAATCAACTCTTGTTTAACCTTGTGGAGGCTCCGGCTCCAAGGGCCCTGGTGCATTTTTTTATACTAATGTAACCCAAATTAAAAAACAAAAATCTCTCAGTGCTTTTTTTTTTTTTTGTCTATTTCCCCATTTTAAAAAAGGTGGGAGATTATCTTCCCTCTCAGCCTCATCTTTCCTCCAGAGGGCATCAGGTGAAGGGAAGGGGGTTGTATGATTAATGCCCTTGAGTACTAAAGATAGCACATGGCACCTTTATTACATTCCCTCTAAAGAAAATACTAATGTGTCTTATCTGTTAAAGAATATTATTTTCTAGACTATTTTTTCCAATTATTTTCAATGTCTATAGATAATCCTGAATTTCATTTAAAGAGAGGCAAGAATTGACATATTTTTAGTTAATAGTCTAAACATGTCAATTTAAATAGGGTTCAGAGACCAAGGTTTTTTATTATGCTTTTTGGGAAGGGAAATTGTGCTGAT
The DNA here is from genome assembly GCF_000001405.40 of Homo sapiens. Taxonomy (NCBI): domain Eukaryota; kingdom Metazoa; phylum Chordata; class Mammalia; order Primates; family Hominidae; genus Homo; species Homo sapiens. The sequence continues at coordinate 101,353,363 of NC_000006.12, forward strand.
AAGATTTCAGGAGCCTACGGGAAGAAGGCTGCTTCAGACATGCACATACAGGCTGAGCACTGTTAGTAAATGAAGCCAAAATGCACTGGAAAGATTTAATAACATTTTTATTAAAAGCAGCAGAAAGAAAATATGCAAAATATGATACACTGAATAAGCCTTTTTCCCCCTCATAAAAGGATATAAAATGAGAATATGCTGGTGGTATATACTACAAACTTAACTTGGAAATAAATTTTGAGAGTACATTGGCTGGGTTCATTTTAACTCTCATCTGAAGATACATTTCTCATCATTTCCTTGGTTTCTCACTGTCTTCCTTCTCCCTATCTGTGAAGCACCGTGTTTTCTATGGTTCCCTTGCAAAAATTGATTTGAAAGGCTCTCTCCAAAGAACATTCCACTACTTTAGAAGAATATGAATTGAGAGTTCATAATAATAATTTTTAAAAATAGTTCTCTACTTGGGAGAGTCCAGGAACAATTTCTGAGGAAATTGAGATCTTTGGAAATTGGGAGAATTTTTATTGGCTTAATTTAGATAGACCTTAAGTGTTTATGGTTTATTCACATAGTGGAGGAAGATTGACTTCAGTCTGTATTTGTTCTTTCTCTCTATCTCTGTGTGTGTGTGTGTATGTGTGTGCACACACCTTATAAGGCAATACTCTGCTATCTCCCTATGTCCTTAGCTTACTTTGTGTTCCATTACATAATAAGGAATATACCATATGAGTGTGCTCATTTAAATGTGTTTATCTAATTAAAGATAGTAAGTTCCAAATAATTTTTTTGAATTCTTGAGTGTTGGATATTATATTTGTTTATCTACTTTACTCAACATGCACACAATATATAGTAGCAACACCACGAAGTTTTTCCAAAGCTACAATTACATATCTCCAGTGAAGTGAGGCTCAGAAGACCTTCTTCACACAGCTCTCAACAAACTGCTGCCCTTATACCAATTGCTCTCTTTCTTGAACTTGCAAAATCACAGCTGGGTCTCCTTATGAAAAGAGAGCAGATAATAATCGCGCTAAATATGCATTAAATTACTTTGCAAAATGATAGTGGCATTCATTATAAATCCTGTGTTTGAGGAGTTTAATCAGCTATTTAAATTTTCATCAGGATGCAAGTCGACATGTGAGTTCTTGGCCAAAGGCATTCTATTTACCACATAAATATTTGTTGATTAAGAAAAGCACAGGCCCCTACATTTTCCTAGGGTTTCAGAGGCACACAAGCATTTCTCAGGAGCAATAAATAAAAACATGAAATTTTTAAAAATCAAACTTGAATTTTGATACATTGTTTAGTTGGCAACTATGTTTCCTATGAATAATATGCCACTTCATAGTGATTTAATATTAATACTCATTAGGAAATCAAGTTTAGGAAAGTGGAATTGGAGAACATAGAAAATGATAGTAAATTGTATTATAGAAAAGCAGCTAATAAATGCAAAGCAAATGATTTGCTGACTATATCACAAGGTTTTATTTTAGTTTCTTCTATGTTAAATCTTGTATACACCAGAGCACTTAAACCAAAATGAAAATGGAGTATTTGAGGTTATACTATTTTATTTTCCCATTTACCTGTCCTGAATTCCATACAGAGTTTGGACCTACATTGGTTAGCTTCAGAAAACAAAGTTGGTACATTTTCAATCTGCTGGACTCCAGGAAGGGGATTAAGGGGAAAATGACTTCTGGTCTTCATCACAGCAAGTAATTCATTTATGAAGGCCTGGGTGTCATGCAAGTGCTGGCAAGAAGAACAGGAGGGAGGGAAGGAGAGGAGAGAAATGAACTGAGATCACCTTGAATTGGCTGGGACTGACTGGTTTTTAGATAACTAAATGAGATTTTAAAAACTTTTTCCTATAATAGTTTAGCATTCTGAGTGAAGGGTAGGAATAGTGAATGTTTGTAAAAAATATAAATGAGACTGCTTAAGAGGAAAAGGGAGAAAGAAACACATCTGGATATTGTGGTTTTGCTCTTTGAATGAGAGTTTGTAACACAGTGGATGTTCACATTTTGATTTATTATTACACTTTTAATATCCACTATTACTCTGACTGGTATAAAATAATACGATTGGAAAGGACATTAGAAAATTATTTAGACAAATCTCCCATTCCCTTTGCAGGAGACAGTTTAAACTATAAATGTGCAGCCTCATGAAAGGTATGTGATAATTTTGTGCACTCTGTTGTATCCACCAGAATTGAAGTTCAATAATGAGAAGGACTTTTCTATTCTATTTGTCACTGTATTTACTCCTTTAACCTAGAATGATATCTAGAACACAGTAGATGCACAACAATTATTTTTTGAATGAGAAGGTGAAGAAATAAATGCAATTGTCCTTAGGAGACTAATGAAATGAAATGGGGGCAAATGGCTTTTTAAGTCAGGAAGTACACTATATTTTCAGGGGTTTTCTCTGAGTAGAGTGAAGCTACAAATTGAACTCTTGGGGCTACTTTACCCCTAAGAGAAGGGGTAAAGATGATAGTGCTTTTTAAAGTTTGTGTGCGTATGTGTGTGTGTGTGTGTGTGTGTGTGTGTGTGTGTGCATCTCTCTCTTCTTCAAAGGTGTTATTACTAGCAGAGATGGATATCTTTATAATGGAAAGGAATTTTAAAAAATGATTGGCAGCCAATACTTTTTAAAATTATTCAGGTATATGGACATTCCCTTGTTTTCTAACTGCAAGTCTTTTAAGGGCATTGGCTAGAAAATTGCCTCTAACAACGAGTGTCATTCAAAACCTTGGCTCCAAAAGTCTGAAATGCTGGTCTACCTGCCATTGCTAATCAGGCATATAACCCTCCCCTCCCAGGCAAATATCTTTACTTCACTGGACCTCAATTTCTCCATCTAAGGATTGCAATTTAGGCTGTTTTGGGAGAGCTCCAAGGTTCTTTCCAGCATAGTAGCCTATGAATTTGCATTCTAAGATCTACTTTGACTACTGGTTGCAGCTTAGAATATATTATTATGTAATACTTCTGTGCATTTTTAAAGTGTGCCTCCTTCTTCTCTTTGCTCTTAGTTGTCACACTTCAATTGACCAAGTGATACCATCATGTCTCTGCCCCTCTCCCACTGGGAAGTTGAGTTGGGTAGAACTTCCATATGGACAATGTTTTGGGCACGCATACTGCAATCACTGAGGCCAGCTGGTGAGACAACTTGACTGTGGGATTAATGTCTCTGTCTTTCCAACCAGTGTTAATAGGACTCAGAAGTCAGTCATGTCAGTCATAACAGTAACAAGAAGTTAGAAGTAAGATATCTCTAAGTTCATACCTCAAAGCAATGAGAGAGATAGGTCCCTCCTTTTCCTGTCTGTCTCTCTCTGTCTCTCTGTCTCCCTGTCTCTCTCTCTCTTTGTGTGTGTGTGTACTTGAATGGGTGCATGCACGTGAGCCTCCACCAGCACAAAGGAAAAGAAGATATAGTCCTAAAACAGAAAACCATCAATCCTTTCATAAATATAAACATTCTTATAAGCAAAATGAGAGCAAAATTTTTCAGCACCACAATAGTACCAACTAGTTCACAAAGCATCTCACTAGTTGTATAGGAAAAAACTAACTTCAAACTCTAGTCTGTACTCTAGGGCAATGAGAAGTCTTGTCTATTCACAATATCTGTAATCCTCCTATCCACTTCTATGTACTTCAGGATAATGGCTCTGCTACCAAAATCTTTCCTGATTTTGAGCCTCATTTCCTTTTTCTTTCTTCCATTCATTTGGTTTTAATCGTACACTTTTAAAGTCTCTTAAAATTTTCTCTTTTCAATGTATTTAATCACTTTTTCTATAAGTACATGAAAGATGATTTTTTTAAAAATCCACTCATTTAAATAATTTTAAGTTAATCATACCGATCGTGTTCTCACTCACTCCTTCTCTCTCATAATATTGAGGATTGTGAGATTTCCGTGGCAAGGATTAAATGTTGATGTGGTTAATCAGAACAGCTGTTTATCTGATATTTGGAAACTCACAGGAGCAATATCCGGTTTTCAAGGTAAATAAATTTACCCCTTTCCCTCAAAATTGTTGAACATTTTGAATTTTCAAAGTCAATGCCTGCCAGCTCTCCTGGTTCTGTCTTATAAAGTCACCATCATCTGCAAATCTTTATCAATAGCCCTTGTGCCAGGTTCCTGGAAAATAAAGGGCAAAGAGATTTACGATACGATCTCAGACATCAGGGATAGAGAGATCATAAACATATTTTTAACACTATACACTAATAGTATATTCTAAATATTCAACATAAGTGAGGGAAATAAAAATTACTACAGGAGTTAAGAAGTCAAAGCTGGGGCAGATGACTAACTCCCCAGAAAAGTACAGCAATGGTTTTCCAGGCTTTAAACATGTATCTGGAGATCCAGCTATTTGTGAAAGTGGTCCATGCACCCATAAAGGATTCACAGATGGACTTCATAAACATCAAGAATTTTTTGAAATCACATGGAAATTTTTGTTTTTATGTTCTTATTTTTTTCTGAGGGAGTCTGTTTTTCAGTTTTGTTTATGCCTGAGGCTTCTAACTCTCGATGTAGGAGAACTTCTGCCCAAGCACTTTGCCCATTCTGGTTCTTAGGCTATTCGTCTCCACTCTGACCTAAGCACTACATCCATTATCTGAGTTTCTGTTTTATAAATCTGTGAGTAAATTCTCACCTTATGCCTCAAATTCACAGTAACTAAACTTCTGTTTGGCTTATATAAATGAGTTTCTCTCTGAACCACCACTTTTACCTACTAGATCTCCCAGAAAATGAATTTTCTGTCCCTGAACCAACTTCTCAGAGCTGGTTTTCTGATATCATCTACCAGGTTTCCAAATGCTAGCCACCTGTCTTCTTGTTTTTTTTGTTAATAGCCAATGACCCTGGCTTGAACATATGCCTTGAATCTTAGATAAGGTATAGGACTTTTGGCTAGTCATGTTTTAGTCCAGCCTATCTTTTTCCCCTGATTAACTAATCTGTAAATTTCAGATCTGCCTTTGGACACATGATCTAATATTTTAAGCTGTTAAGGTCTTTAATCCTTGACATTGTTATCCAACCCTTTAGTGTTCTAGATAGAAATTGTATATAATGCTAGATTTTCTTAACCCTCAGGCCTTAAACAAGGTCTTCAAAGTAATTGACCTAATACAAATTGAGGTGGGTAGTAGAGCACTATTGAGAAGTATAGAAAACACTCCAGTAAGAGGTAGGGGAAGCAATTTAAGCAAATTAGAGAGGTAGAAATCCTATAGCATGTTCAGGAAGGAACAAATAGTTATGTGAAATAATAAATATTCTAATTATACACTGGTTTTGATTGGAATAAGGAGTTGATATTTTTGTTTACAATATCCTCTGGAATAGAGCTTCTTAAATTAAAAATTGCACAAAATCTTAAGATATTGTTGGCAATATTGGTGCCTAAGAGTCATTATTTAACGCTTTTAATGAGTTTCTTTTGTAGATGATTCAAAATTCAGTTTATCTATTACGCAAGTACAATCTTTATGGTACTTAGCTTCCAATGGGTTCTTCCACTGTTTTTACCATCACATTATATTTTAGAGCTACCATATGGTGGTTAAATGCCAAGATTCCAAACTAAACCTCGTTTCCTGAAATAACACACATTGGTAATACCCCATAATTGTCACGCCAGTGATTTTCTACAATGCTATAAAGTATCAGAAAGAATCCATTTTATTTGGCAGTTTTATAATTCTAAATGTGTTTTTATTATTTAAAATATGGATATTTTAATTTTGAGTTACTGTACCATGGGATGTTTTTGTTTTATAAAATTGTTAACAGCATGAACCCTGACTTTTAATTTAGGGTAGGTTTAGCTTGTAATTTTTAAAGTACTTTTATGACTAGAAGCCATTTTTCAGTGATAATTAAAGTTATATTAAGTGAATCTTGTAAAATGTAACATCATAAACTGTTACAGCAGTGCTAATCTGATAAATCGCAAAAGCAGTGAATGTCATTAGCACTTTAAACACATGGAAAACAAACATAAAGGAAGATACAGAAGCAAACATAATGGTAACCCTTAAAATTTGAAATGATTAGCAGTGATGCTAACTTACAGGCTTAGTGTCTTCTGAGATTCTTGCAAGGAGGTTAGATGTCTCAAATATATGTTGGTCTATTTATTAGAAGAGGAAAAATACCAAATATATTTCACTAAATATTTGCCTTTGAAGAAAAACGAAGCTATGACTTGGTTAACTGAGTATTTACCTGCAAACAGAGAAGGATAGAAAAAATTGTGTGGGAAACACAGTAGGTCTCTGATAAATGTATATTAATTGTGTGAACCATAATATTATTTTTGGAGCCATCCCACTTATTCTCCAGACCTTCTCTAAGCTTCCCTAGGTATTCCTTTATAGATCTATATTGGGTAGTATGGTCCAAAGGATGCCTAACACATGAAAATAGGATTGAATTCCTTTGAGGCCCAGAGTTCCCCTTGAAGAGGAACAGCTAAGGAACCCCTTAGTGGTGGTTAGTTTAGCAGCATAGATCAGGACTGCATATGAGTATTCTACAATAGTCCACACCTCTGTAGAGTCGGGAATGAGGTCCAGCCCCAAAGGAGGCCACTTCACTAACATGCTTGTCTTTACCAAATTATGTCTGAGAAAGTTTGTGACATGCAAGCTACGAAACTTTCTATCCAAAATAATATTTTTTCTTTAAAATCAAAATAGGAAATTATTTTATATATCCTTGCTCTTTCAAACACAATATGAAAAATAATCCATCATAGCTTTGAATACTTCTTAAAGCGAGGGAAAGACAAATGCTTCTATTTGAATAGAACCATTAAATTTTCTTATTAATGCACTTAGTACTATATGTTCAATGCAAAATATACCCTAACAGATTTTTGATTTGCAATTTCTTAATTTGGTCTATCCTCATATACTTTTTCTTCCCTTGATAATTTGATTCAAAAAGTTCTTCCTCAACATGGAAAATTGCAGTTTTAGTAGATATGGATTTTGAGAAAATTGGGAATGTGTGTGAGAAGTGATACTTCAGAGAGAAAAGGAGCCCTGGTGAAAGGCAGAGAAGAAATCACAGATGAAGTATGGTCCTGTTGCTTCTTCCTGAAATCACGGTATAGTGTCCCAGGTTTCTAAAAGAAATAAAAAATGGTAAATCTTAGAAATGTATTTGTTCACAGTACATTGTACTATGAAAGATCATGGTATGGATCATCATCCTGGAAGAATGTAAATTTGTTTCCCTTTTTTGTCTTATTTTCTTATTTATTTATTTATTGGTAAAGGCAGAAGATAAAAACAGATTGAGTAGTCCATGATCTTATCAACACAGCTAACATCACGTCTTGAGAAGGAAGCATCTTTTCCAACTTTCTTGCATAAAGATAAATAAAGCACTGGTGGTCAGCAATGTATGATGGCAGATTTCACAGGTTGCCTTAAGACTGAGATAGGAAGATGATGCAAATAACCCCAAGCCTTCTCTGTTAGATGCGAAGCAGTTAAAAGTGTCAGAGATTTTCACGAAGTCTGGCCCAGATCTTCTTCTGTATTCTGATTTATGCTGGCATTGGTTAGGTTCATGCATGAAGCTAATTCTAAATAACTAACTGTCTCTTTGTTTTGGGGCATGTTTGTTGGGTAGGATTAGGCCTTCATAAAATCTACTCCTCTGTAATACACTGAAAAAGTTGCAAGACTACCCACAATATTATTGTTGCTTTGCATTTTTCTCCTTTATCTCAATATATAAAGTACATATATTATTATGGTTTTGTTGGGTGTCTGGAAGCAGAACTCAACAATGTAGGTCAGAAGAGCAGAAAGACATTGAACATTTCTATACAAGACCAAACTCCACTTCAGTATGTCACAGATTGCAACAAAACAAAATTCTTTAATAAGCCTCTCACTAAAATGATGAGGACAGAAGATCCTGAAGTAGCTCCAGTAAGGAAGAAAAGGAAAATGAGAATTAATTTTAGAATATCAGTAATTATTCATTTAAAATATATTGTGTGCCCTTGCTAGTCTATTTAATGTTAGAGTTTCCTTTTATTTTGGTTAATATAAAAACATTTATAGGGTTGTGTCACTGGTCCCTATGTGATCAATTCCTAAACCCATGTCATAGTCCTAAATTCCTCAAGAGGGAATTTGCTCACAGCAGGGTGTTTCAATAACGTACTAGAACTTAGAGAAGGACTACTATTTTATTCCTGAAGTGTTGTTTCTAAGATTAAAAGAGGCCCATATTCTGACTTTTTTACTGGAAAAGGGGAAAGTATTTTAACCGATACATCCAGCCTCTTTCATCTCATCTTCTCTTATTTCCAAGAGGTAGATAGGCACATGTGGATTTGGATCACACTGCTAACGGATGTCAGGAACTTGGTGTTCAACCAACTGAACTTAAGTCCCATACAATAATATTCATGAGTTAACATACATCGGATGATATTAAGGAATACATCCTGTCAGTATTACCTGCTGTATTCTTTGTTTTCTGATGTCATCAGGTCTTATGATTTATTTTTACATACGGCAGCCATTTAAGAATATAGTACGCTCCATGCCAATTTGTTATTCATAATTAGCGATGCCATGTAGGGAACAGCCAACAGTTCCATATCTTAGCTTCTTTCTTAGCTCTATCCACCAGCCACCCTCACACCTATGCAGATGTGAGAGAGAATTGCTATTCTGAGAGGTCAAACTCCTAAACCATATGCCTGGTAAGCAGGGCTAACATGGCTTAAAAATTCATTAACACTCATATTTTATTTTCTTCCTCTGTTGCTGAATTCAGCTTTGAATAAAGTCAGTTTTGCCTTGAGGGACAATCTATTGATTAATAATAATAAATATATATAGACCACTTTAACACAGCTATCATTCTTTTTTGAGGATGGAGAGCAAAAACAGCAGTAACTTTTATCAGTATGGGTCCAAATTAGAAAGATATGGTATTTTGATTTTCATATTTTAGTATTTCTTTGAGTTTAAATTCATGTGTTATCCTAACACTGTGAATGTGACTGTGAAGTAGAGCTCTTTGTCAACTCTTGTATAATATTTACCCTGAGCAAGAAATGAACTTTTATTGGTTTTAAACCACTAACAATCGGAATTGCTAATTATTATAGCAATGCTGAAGCATAGCCCTTTCCTTTCTTATTGCATAGCTTTGATTGCTATTTGGTTTTCCTTCCACACTGCCCATTGTATCTTAGTTTTATCTTAAGTTATGTATTAGCCATAGTCCCCAAATCCTTCCCTTTAACTATTAGCAGACAATTTTGGGTCTGGTTTTCAGTCATTACAAGTTCACCCAGAAATTAAGATAATTGTGTGCTTTCCTCATTATCCCATGGTGACCTACATTAGTGTGTCTAGTTTTAACGTAGAAGCCTGGTCTTAGACTTTTTGTATTCAAGCTGAGAGAACAGAAAGGCATTAGTAGGTAATTTTATTATCAACACTGGATACACTTTAGAATCATCTGGAAAGCTTTCAAAAATATATTATGCCCAGCTCCTACCCAATACTACTTCATCAGGTAGGGATGGGTGAGCAAGCATGGGTATTTGAAAAGCTGATGCTTCTACTGTGCAGGTAGAGTTGAGAACCCTCTTCCTGGAAGTAAAGAGAGGTAGGCATTATCCTGAAACCTGTCAAGAAAAATCGCTCTGTGTGTTCTGAGAAACACTGCTTAAACTTCAAAATTCATGAATTACATGTATCTTTTTTTTTGGACGAAGTCTCGCTCTGTCACCCAGGCTGGAATGCAGTGGCATGATCTTGGCTCACTGCAACCTCCCCCTCCCAGGTTCAAGCAATTCTCCTGTCTCAGCCTCCAGAGTAACTGGGACTACAGGCGCATGCCACCATGCCCAGCTAGTTTTTGTATTTTTAGTAGAGACAAGGTTTCACCATATTGGTCAGGCTCGTCTCAAACTCCTAACCTCAGGTGATCCACCTACCTCAGCCTCCCAAAGTGCTGGGACTGCAAATGTGAGCCACTGCGCCCGGCCAACATGTATCTTATATTGCAGCATTCTGGCTGGTGAAAAATGATCAATACCCTTTGGATATCAATTTTATAAATTATTCATTATATTATTTACTTGCTTTGTTTCTTGATTAATATTTGTCTCCCCGACAAGACTGTAGGTTATACAAGATCAAGGATTTCGTCTTTATTTGAGAAAATTGGCTTTTTTCCTCAGGGCTTAGAGCAATGACCAACATATGGTTTATATTCAATAAATACTTGCTAGATGAATGAAGTATCAATGTAAACCAAAATGAAAGATGAATAGCAATTGTGAGAAAAAAAAGTTTCCAAAACATAACAAAGGTCTATGTAATAAAACGATACCATAATAAAACACAAATACTATAATAAAAAATGATGGCTAAAAAATGTATACAGACAATTCAACAATTCACAGAAGAAATACATCATGATGAGTTATTAACTACTAAAAAACTTGCTGTAAGCAAAGATTTTCAAATTAATTTGTTAGTTATGTACTGTTTTATGTATCAGATTAGCAAAGATTACTTAAAGGTATTTTTCAATGCTGAATAGGGAATAGTTTGACCAGGACCCTCAAACCCTACCAATAGAAGTGCAAATTAGGATAACCTTTTGGAAAAGCAATTGGGAGCTGTATATGAAGAACCCTAAGGATGTTAATTCCTATTGACCAATAAATCTCATTCATGGGATATATTCTGAGGAAATAAAAATCAATTTTTAGTCCAATATTTGCATACAAGGTTATTTATCTTAGCATTTTTCAAATAGCAAAGAATGGAAATAGTCTTTCTTAAACAATAGAAGAATTTAAATATATCACAATATATCCTTATGTGAGAGAATGTAATAATACCATTAAAACCAATGTTGAAAATATTAATGGCAGGGGAATTGCTCCCATTATAATATCAAGGGAAGTCGGTATGAGAAAATACTAAAAATCTTGCTTTTAAACATATAAATTTGTGAAACATTAATTTGGATATTTGTTAATTTTTTTATAGTCAGTTGTGTACTTGCAAAATTTTCTATCTCATTTTACCTTGTATAATCTGACCATTAACAATAACAGATGTTTACATAGATTATGTTCCATGTGAGAGGCACTATTCTAAGCACTTTCTTTTTAAAACTTACTAAATAGGCATGGTTATTATCCTCATTTTACAGATGAGGACATGTAAGCATGGAGTGATTAAGTAACTTGACCAAGGTAACCAACTCATAAGCTCAGAATCTGTGCTTTTACACTATTTTTTTTTTTTAAGTCAAAGAAAGTCAGCCTAGGAAATACTTGTAGGTTCTGAGAATGTCTGTATTAGACTCCACACATTGGACAGGGCTTACCCAAGGACTGGAAGAATTTAAGTTTTGTGGTAGTAGAGGGCTTTTATAGATCAGGTCGAATCTCCTGCCTTTTTGATGAATAAAAATTTACATCTGCCTTGTTTAAGGGCAGAAACAGAGACACAGCCCACTCCTTCTGACCACATCTCTTGTAGCCACTGACGGTTAACTAGAAGCTTCCCTGACTACCTGTTATGGATAAGATGAGGCTGCTACCCCTATTCTGGGCAAGACAACTTAGGAAATAGCACATGCAGTCTTCATTGAACCTCAAAACCATGAGCTCTGCTGTGACTTGCTGACTGTGGCTGCTTGTAACTAGAATAGGAAAAACCAACCTCAGTACATGAAATGCTTCTGCACTGCTGAGTACCCTGTTCTCTATCCACATTTATTCTATTACAAGTAACAGAGAAACATTAGGTAGAAGGGAAAAGGGCTGGTGAGAATTAAATCATACCTCTCGGTTGAGCAGACTGAAGAGTTAGAAATTGTATTAGGTTGGTGAAAAAGTCGTTGCGGTTTTTGCCATTAAAAATAATGACCAAAACCGCAATGACTTTTGCACCAACCTAATATGAGGTGTCATGTAGCAGTTTTACATCTGTCTTCCCAAAGATTGTCACTCAAAGATTTTATCAACAAAAAGGCTGACATCCAAATCCACTGTTAAACTATCAGCTCAGGCCAGGCCCTTGCCCTTCCTCTCAGTGCAAATAAGTTACTCTGTGTAAATCTAAACTTATATTGTGATGGTGCTAAGATTTGCTGGCTTTAGATATTTCTGAACCTTTTATGGTACATTTTTTCTCTTTTCCTGAAACAAACTTGTTTTTGATATTTTTGTTTAAAAACATATCGTTAGAAACCTTTCCTAAGGTGGTGGTGAGATTTTCTTCATAGTGGCTTCAGTTAACAAAGCATTTGGGGATAATGAAGGATGAAAATCCACAGTAGAAATGTAAAAATCTTTATATTAATGAAGCATAATGTATTATTGGATCCTTCATGGAATTTTCCATTGCCAAATCAAGGCTCATTATTCTGCACCTGAGCACCACAATTCCTGGAGTTCCATGGCATGTTTTAACAATAAGACAAATGTCCCATTTTGTTTTATGAAACCTTACTTTCCCTTTCTGACAGCCTTTTTCTCACTAGCTTTTACTGTGGTCTCAGAGATTTGTGCCTTCCAATATAAATTCCCTTAAGTCACATCTTTTTCAATTGTGTGGGTTGAAGCAGGGTAGGGGCATTGCCATCATATGAGAAATAATTTAGTAAGTCTTGCTAGAAAATCTTCATTGGAAGATTTTCCTATGCGTAATAAAATAGTTCTTACTTTGGGTTTATGATGAAAACCATGACATCTATAGCAAAAACTTCATGGTATTTTGAGACCTGATTTATTTAACAGTTCTTGTCCTTTCTGATCACAGTTGTGAACAGACGTCTTGAACAATATGTATTGAAGACCCTGTTAGAGAAAAGGCAATGGTTTCCTATTGCCTTCACTGATCCTCCTCTCAGAATTAATTTCTCCCTACTGTATTCTCTAACCAGACTTTTTATGTGACCCTCTGTTTTTTGTTTGTAATTGTGCACAACTCTCTTGCTCACTAAATCATAGTAGGTGAGAAAAAAATGAGTTATGGCTCATTTATGATTCTACCCCGCATGTCTAACACAGAGCCTGAAACAGTATAGGGACTCAGTTGGTTTGCTTGAATGGAATTAATTGAATCGATAGGATCAATGCGTTAATACCAAGTAGTGATTTTAGTTTAATTCTATGAAGGACCAAGATTCTTTTCAGTTCACAGAAAGAGTGTAAAAGTATTTTGAATAAATTTCAAATGCTAAATTAAGGTTTATTATTAAGTGTAAATCTATCAAAATTTTAAAAGAATTTCATATTGACCATAAATATAAACCTTATAGATTTTAAGAAATTAAAGCAATGTAATCAATATTTTTGACAAAATTCATTAAAATAGCAGAGATTAAAACAAAAAAAACATTTTTAAAAAAAGAACAACAAATCTCTCTTCTACATAATTTTTAGATCAAAGAAGAGATCAAAACAAATTATAGAATTTCTAGTAAATAAAGGTGCAACATTGTAAATTCACAAGCTATAGGATATGGGCGAATTCTGTGTGGTCAATAAAAATATTGCGGTATTTTTAATCATTTCTGATTAATAATTATTAATAATTTCTGAAACTACCTTTCAGTAAATTATTTAGTTCTTTATTTCAGTGTTTTGTTTCCTTTGTTACTGAGTTTCCCTTTCAATAATGAATGATGTGACCAACCAAGGAGAATTTTTTGCTCTGTACTAAAATAATAGCCTACAGTTAGGAATTATAAAAACCAAGAGAGCTTCTTTAAATGTTTTGTTTGTTTGTTTAAGTGATGTCTTCCATCAAAAGTAAGAATAATTCTCTTAGAAGGTCCTTGTGGTGTCATGTCACTTGCTGTCTGTGGCAACCTTACATTGCCACACTTGGGTACTGAAAATCAATAAAATGAAACTTCGTCATCCCCCCCCACAAAAAAAGAATAAAAATGAATCACTTAAATATTAAGCTCAAGGCATTAGGATGGGAAAACAAACTAAGAATACAGAGGAAAATAATTGTTAAAATAGAAATGTACATTAACGAATTGGAGAAAAAATAACATAAATTCAGAGGTGCTTTCTTAAAAAAATTCTTGAAAAAAATTTACTAGCTCACTTAATGAAAGAAAAAGGGAAATGGTGTGTAAATAAGAACCAAAAAAAGCAGCATCTGTGGATTTAGAGGAACTATACATTTTAAATGTTAAGATATGTCTTTGTACCTTTCCATAGCTACAAATTTGGAAAAGTGCCAGAAAACACAAATTTTTTAAATTTTTTAAATGTAGGAATGATTAGAATTTATATAAAAAAGATAACTTAATGAGTAAATAACAATGAAAGAAATTGAGATTTTCAAAAATCCACACTCACCTCTAGCTACCAACAAACAAACCAACAAAATAAAGGATACCAGTTAAAAAGTCCTTCCGATGCAGAGAGTGATTGAAGAAGCCCTATACAAGGTGGATGCTCCTGGCATTTCCCATATGCCTTATCTCCTTGTCCTTTCCCTCTAGCTCTCTCCTCTCCGGTGACACTGGTTCCTTGCTGTTCCTTGAATACTCCAGGTGTACTCTCCCTAGAGCCTTTGTACTGGATACTTTGAATTCCTGGAACATTCCTTCCCTTAAATATCTATATATTTTATACAAAAATAAAGTTGCCATTTATATTACTGGAGTAATATTTAATATTTAATAGATGACAATAGAATATTTAGCTTTTGGGGGCAGTTGAGTTATGCATTTTATCTCACTCTTTATATTAAGTAAATTTCATATGAATCAAAGACTTAAATATACACTTTTAAGCCATAAAAGAAATAAAAGAAGACAGATGCATGCAGGACTGATATTCAGTTTTAACAAATCAGTACAGGCATACTAGTAGCATGGAATATATTGCTTATCTATTTCTTTGTATCTATGTCTATCTATCTATCTATCCATCCATCTATCTGTATCTATCATTTACCTATCTCTCTAGCTGTCATCTATCTATCTCTCTACCATTTTAGTATATAAATTTAAACCCAAGCTAAGATAGTGCTAAATATTTTGAGGCTACTCTTCCATATTTGAGTAAATTTATATTATATATATTTATATGTGGAGAAGATCTTACTACATATGCACAAAACAGACATCTCTGTGGCAAAAAATATAAATATCATAACCAGTTTCAAAAATAAACAACAGCCTGAAAAGAATATTTACAACAATAAAACAGTCCAAAGGCATATATCCCTAATATGCAAGAAGTTTTTAAATAATCTATAAAAGTAGCCTTTGTATTGGCAAAGGTGTAATGAAGTATATTCTCACTTATATTGGTAAAAGTGTAAGTGAATATGATCATTTTCTAGAGAAATTTGGCTTTTAAACTTTTGTAAATACATATTTTTGACCCAGAAACTGTATTTTTAGAAAATTCACCCTACAAAATACACAAGAATTATCTAAGTGCAGAAGTGCTCACTTATAAAAGGAAAAAAAAGGTAAAACTTATATATCTGCCAATCTTGTATTAAATAAATATTTTATAGTATAGCCATAAAATATTGTGCTATTTTTACAAAATTAGATTTCTATGTTTGTAATAATATGGGAAAGTTTATAAGACATATTGTTAGATGAAAAGAAAAAGCATCAGCACACTACATTTGATATGATTATGTTTCTGTAAAAATATATCCACTTAGCTATCTGTCTAAATGTACAGCACACACATACATATATTAGTCAATGGAAAGTAAAAAATATGAAGAATATTCATTACCTGCCAAGAGTCATCAATTTTTGGATGTAGGTATTTTTACTTTCTAAGCCATACATTTTGTTAATGTTTGCATTTTTTAACAATGAGTGTGTATTTTTAAAAGCAGAAGTAAAACATGGAGTTTTCAAAAAATTAAAAGGAAGCAGAAAGTGTAAAGACATCCCTAAACCATATTTTAGGTCTGTGCTTCATCTCATAGAGATTCAGGACTACAAGTCAAGCTGAAAAATGTATACGGGATCTCTAAACATAGCTTCTGTAAGACAAAAATGATTGATTATTTCTGGGTAATAGATAGCAAAATGTGCAATCTGATCTCTGCTATGAGTTTTGAACCATATTGCCGTGAAGGAGATTAAATCCATGCAGTGTTTTACTTATTAACTCTGTCAATGAGTATGCTAAACAAAAAGGCAACTTTTTCTAATCTTTGTGATTTTCCTTATTTTATCTTTTGAAACATTTTATTTCTACTAATGTTTGAGAAATGTTCTCAGAGTAAACTGAGTATAAGGAGTTTTCTTAAAAATAGTTTAGTTAATATATCTTTTAGAAATGCTAATCCTTGGACCACTGATAAATGTCCAGCTCACATCACTTTCTTGGTTACACTGAATAAATTGGAACATTTGCACTTAGCTAGTTACCTTCCTTGAGGAGGAATCTTATCAAGGAACTCTTTTTCTTAACTATGCCCAAGCAGCTCTATATATTCTAAAAGATCCTGCAATTCAATACGATTAAAAGCAACATTATGTAATAAAATCTTATTTCTGAAAATAACAGCACATTATTTGAGGAAATACTTACTTCGAGAGACTGAGACAAGTCTGAACATATGAAGAGATCAGTTGCAGAGCCTCTCTCCTGCAAAAAAGACTTGCTCTGCCAGAGAGAAGAATAATAAACTTTCTCCACGAGTAAAACTGGAAATACAACATATTCATTTAATGCTCAAGAAAGACTTTCAGTACCCATCATGTGCCCCCCACTATTCTAGATGCTGGAGATGTTGTAGTGAACAAACCAGACAAAAATACCCTCTGGAGTTTACAATCCTGAAAATGAAACCATGTCAATACTGATTTCTAGACTGTAAATTAATTTTATGTTTAGATAACTGGGTATGGGCTAGGTTTGTCCTTTTTAGCTTAGAAATGGCCTTCTATTAAAGGTACACATTAATAAACCTGGAGCTGAGTAGTGTTTAACTACTCTGAAATTAAAGTTTCCTAAATGTTTTAGAAGCACACATTAACACGCATTTTATGACTTTGAGTATAATATATAGGAAATTAATCCTATAATCAAAAACATAACTGACATAAATTATGGATATGATGTTAGTTGAGATTTTATTTTGTATATATTTGAAAATAATTGCAAAATTCATACCTAAACAATACTCTATATTCAGATTTGCTTTTCCTCAAATGTTATTAATATGTTGAGATTTTACATCAAGTTTGAAATTTGAGACTCAAAGGAATTTAGGATACAGGCTTAATTGTTTTCTAACACATCATGTCAATAGTCTTCAAATTATTGTATGTAAATTTAACTATATTTCTCATAGGTTTCTATGATAAACTTTCCTTTACATGTTTAAATTCCCTTTTCATAATCCTACTAAAACAAGTTAATAGAGTAGTAAAGTAATAGCTCTAGAAGAAAATTTACATTTGTAAGTTTTATAAGCAGAACTTTAGAATAAAATTATATAATGGACAGTCATAGTCTTCTTACTACTTGTTTAACATCCTCAATTAGCCACAAATCTTTTTAACATAGAATCATGTCTTTAGGAGATTGAACAGCCTAGCTCTTTTCCTTTCTTTTTCTATTTTTTTTCCCAGGCGATTGCTAATGGTTGTCTTTAAGTTCAAAGTACTTGGCATATATAGTCTGTGAAGCATTAAATATTTTAGCTGCCCATTTGGGACTTGAAATCCTTCTACATTTAAACCTATTTATATTAAGCACATTCTGAATTCCCTAATGTGCATTAAAAGAAATAAAAGCTTGCTAAAAATGAATCTGTTTACCAGGCTTTACAAAATTAACCATTCATGTTTATCTTTTTCAAGATTTGGCTTCCAGTTTTGGAGAAAATTTTCATTGGCATGTCTAAATTGTTTTATTCTTTGAGGAAAAGATTGTTTTATTGTTTACTATTCAAAGAATTCAGGTAAAGCTGCAATTCAAACAACCATTACAGTTTGTGACTCTATCCCTCAATTTGGTGGGGATTTTTATTTTAATTTTTTTCCAAGATCTTTGCTCAAGACAAACCACAACTCCTTATTGACAGTAGTCATTTTCATTGATCTGCCCTTGTCATTGTACAATGGTCTGTTTGTTTGCAGCCCTTTAAAAGAGTAGGGGCTTGGCTTGATTAGATAATTTATCTGTTCTACATCAAAAGTATAGATAGGTTGACAACAATAAACATTGATTTGATGACAGTATGGTTTCAAGCACATTTTTTTGTAATGATTATGTATGTATATAAAATTCTGATACATATATTCTGCATCATCACACATGAGATTGTAATAAGCATTGTCAGAGCATAGAGGAGGTGGTTCAGGATAAAGTGAAGAATAGGATGAGATTTTTTTCACCCCCAACGAATATGTGGAATCCAATTTTATCTCTGCAGATAGGTGAACCATGTGTGAAACAGATAGGATATTTCATGTATCTGACAAGCAGTGTATCTGCGGTTAGGTTAGTGGAATTAAAAATCACTTGTAAGGAAAAGCAAGACATTCTGCTGAAACATGAGGAGTGTTTTTGAACATATATGTATATGTTTTAAAAATACTTTAGCATGCTAATTACTAAACAATGATAAAAATCTACTTCTGTGATTAAATTACAAAACCTAACATTTTGATCTGTAGTATTTTTGCACATTTTCTCTTTTGATTAATTTTATATAGTTTTATGACAAAATTCATAGTAACTTTCTAACTATGCAATTGAGGTACACTCTTTAGATCATGGGTTACTATCAGCACCAACAAAGATGTTGTCTACTTTAGACTGTAAGTGCCTAAAGGGCAAGGGCTCCACCTGATTTCACCCCATCAGCCAATGTAATTAAAAATGAATTCAGCCAGATACACCAAATAATTGCAGGAAGACAGTTTTACTTTTCTACATACTACTTTGAGCATGTAGATACAAGCTTGCTGGAAACTACTTTGTTCAGTATCAAAATTACATCTTGCATCACATACATATTTATTGATTTTATGGTGCTATTTCCTTGGAACTTATTTTTACCAATATGGCATAGAAAAAGGATGTTTGTAATAGCAAATGTGCTAGCTAGTTCCACTTTGTCTTTTCTGGATTCTCTTTTTCTACTGGGTAATTTTTATATGCCAGAAATGTCTCTTTGGCTGTTAATTTATCACTATTAATACTTTTTAATAATTTATATGGCCTATATTATCAAGAGGAGTAGCATTCCTCTCCAATAATATGCAGTTTAAAAATCATTTTGTAGCCTTTCTCTAGTGTTTTAGTATGTCATGGTCTTGCATTTTAATTGTGAGCATCATAATATACTCCAAATATCAGTGGAACTACATGTGTGGGTTCCAACCTGGCACTATCACCACCTACTGTGTGATCTTAAATTGTTCCACCTCTCTGGAACCCAGGTGCTGCACAGAAATTTGGACCTGACACTTTGCTATTTTGAATTTTACATGATGTGTTTTGCTATTAATTTGTTTCTAATGGTGGATAGTGCTAAATTTGCCAAGGACTTACATTTTATTTTAGGGTTGTTATATTTAGCATAATATCATGCACAATCATTTTTATTCCTATATGTTAATTTTGAGTGGGAGAGAAAAGGGTAGATTTGTAGCTTGTGTGCCAGGAATAAACTTACAGAGTAGTTTATGCTTATAAGTATCATCTCATATGTGGATTCAGAAAAAAAGAGGTTGGGAATTTCAGGGTCAAGTTCAGACGGTCACTAAGGCTTCATGCTTTAACTTTTAACATTCCATGATCCCATTATTCTACTATAGATGTTCTCCATTCTCCACATCAGGAATCAAAGAGATCCACAATTTCCTTTAAGTTACTTCATCTACTACACTGAGAGTCAAATTTTCTTTCATTTTATGAGTTTAATGACAACTTGAGTATTATATATTCAAAATATTTGTTTTCTCTAGAACAGCAACATCCCTACTTATTTGTGATCACAGCTTTGATCAACCACAAATCCATTTTTTTTTTTTTTTTTGAGACAGATTTTCACTCTGTCGCCCAGGCTGGAATGCAGTGGAGCAATCTCGGCTCACTGCAACCTCCGCCTCCCATGTTCCAGCAATTCTCCTGCCTCAGCCTCCTGAGTAGCTGGGACTATAGGCACGTGCCACCATGACCGGGTAATTTTTTTGTATTTTTAGTAGAGACAGGGTCTCACCATGTTAGCCAGGATGGTCTGGATTTCCTGACCTTGTGATCCACCTGCCGTGGCCTCCCAAAGTGCTAGGATTACAGGCATGAGCCACCGCAGCAGGCCCAAATCCAAATTTTAAAATAAATATTTATATATGTATATATTCTAAGTCTGAACAGTGGAAAAATTGCTGAAATGAACCACAGGTAAAAAGATTAAAAGGTAATCGGAAATGTGGTGTAATTATTTAGTTCATCAACCTGAAGAAAGGACCACTCTCGCTGGATGTTAAATATAATAACCTAAATCTTAGTAAGATTAAAGATGATTAAGACAGAGTAAAATAGCAACAGCAGGCAAAAATGATACTAAAAGTACCTTTGGGAATTGAAAATAGTGATGGGATAACCTTCTGACACCTGAACAATGGTGGAAGTATCTGTAGACAACAATGGGGAAGAGAGAGAGGAACATCCATTAGAACACTAAAATATTCTGAGGACATTTAGTGTAAGGATAATTTAAGTTCTGCATAGCTGAGTAACCCTCTAGGGATTCTTAGTGCCAATTTAAGAATAAAGCTCACCAATTAGAACAGTGCTGTATTCTGAAATTATACAGTGTTGGGAAAAGTAATATTTCATGTTCCAAAATGCAAAAAATAGCAATATATTACTGCATAGTTCAATTTTTGAATTCAAAAAACCTTTCTGATTCATCAAGAAAATTTTAAAGTATTTTGAGAAACATGTTTTGTAAAGCAGAGAACTAAGTGTGATATTTTCAAGACATTATTGACAAAAAGAACACTTTTTATAGAATCTAAAGACATAGGTTCTGGTATTGTATCTTCCACTCAAAAGATAAGTGACTTTGAAAAAGTCATTTAACTTCTCTGAGCTTTCTGTTTTTATTTCCTCTGTTCAGTGAAAATACCTGTTCTACATACCTGGCAGAGTGTAGAAGAGGATTAAAGTCAGATTAAAATAACCTATGTTATTTGAGTCATTGAAATACATAAAAGATATTTGTAAGATTATGTTACTACTATTAAAATTTTTAAAGTTTGACTATATAGTTGAAGAGCTCTAGAATCCTCCTTTTTCCAAAATACCTTATTTCTCATGCCTGGGAACTAAAGCAACACTGAAGGATGAATCAGTTAGTATTGATTTCAAGGACCAGAATTATTCTGAAGAGAAAGGAACTGAGTGAGTAAACAAATAGTAGTGTGGCTTTGTTTACATTTTGAGAGTGGAATTGGCTTGTGCTCTAATTAGCTAAATTTTATAAGATTTCTGTTTTATGCATATTGCAAGGTACCTTCTAAATGAATGCAATTATTCATCCTCTTAAAAGCATACAGAAGTCTAATTGATGTGCTGTGATATTAGCTTTAAGCATGATTTTATAAAAGATCAAATTTGCATTTAATGAAAACTTAACACTTTGACATATACTTGTCAAAGATATGAAGAAGTTGGCAATTTTATACATACAGATTCTGCTTAAAAGAAGTGCTTCTAAACAAGAGCCCAAGAGAACCTCAGCCATGTTGGCTAGTACTTGGTTCCTTAAGGTAGTTATGTCAGTTTCACCACTCTGCAATTCTACCTCCAGTTATGTAAAAACATACTCATTGCACATCTTTATATATACCTTCCTTTACCTATCTAAATGATTTTAGTTTCATAAATATAGTGAATATCTTATCAGCTTTGTCAGTGCTAAGCAGTGAGTTGTAGTAAGGTAATAAATCTCTTTGAATAAATTGGTTATTGTAGATAAACAGCATGATACACGACGAAATATTGACTATTCATGTTTTCTTGCAGAGTGAGATTTATATCAAAATGAATAACTTCTACACCAAAGTCATATTCTGTTAAAAAAAATGAAAGGGAATTATGCCTTTGTGATTGGAGGCAAAATGGGATGAATTTAGGTCATATCTTAACAGGCTTTCAAACTTCATAATTTTCTGATGGAAGGACAGACCAGAAGATTTGTACATTCTTTTAGAAATGGATAGGGACAATGAAGAGTTATTTATTTCCAGTTTTTTTTTTTGTTGTTGTTATGGGATTTGCTGCAAAGCAAAAATAAGAAAAAGCAGGAGAGGAAACCTGTATACTTGGATACTTTCCACAACAGGTTTTGAAATATTTTCTTTGCCACTGAAAGACTATTTTCACTGTTTTACTGAGGGGAACAAAGCTGTCTTCAAAGGTAAAAGAACAGTAGGTGGATGGCATTGGGTTATGCGACTCCATGATTTTGGCTGCAAGCTCTATCAGTTTGTCAGGTGGTGAAGGGAACAGAGCAGCAGCAGCCTGTGTGCACTGGGAGCTCTCCTACCCATTGCACCCAAGGGAGATTCACTGGATTCAATGAGTTATAATGTTTTAGAAGAAGGTTTAGGCTTTCTGTTCATTCATCAGTTCCCATAAACTGTTTTAAGATCTGTTTTAGTGAATGGTCATTTTCATGGGAGCATGATGGAGAGAAGAGGAAAAGAGGTAAAGGAAACTGTGTCTCTGGAGACATGTGTTCAAATATATTGTCTCCATTGTTTAAACTCTATGTCTGTTATATATAATAGACTTCTACTTCATTTTGGATTACAGAAACCTAGGAGGAAACTCTCAGATTTCAAAGCTGTGATTGCTAAAATTTTCTACCTTGGGCGAAACACTGCTGACTGGTAGTGGTAGGCTGAGCCTGGTTGGGACTGTGATGAGATGGTGGCTCTGCATGGATGATGGCAGCAGACATTGAGGCCATTTGAATGCTCAAGGGACCAGCTTCTTGTGTTCACCTAGACTGGAAGGTGAGCCCATCTTAAAATAGTAGTGGGGGCAGTAGTTATATTTCAAAGAGATGAAGAAGGCGGAAAGGGATGAGTCATGTGCTAGAGGAGGATTTTGCTGCAAGAAGGAAGTACCCTGGGGGAGGAATCTACAGGCACAGGTCCCTGGCTCTCAAATGGCAAAGAAGACATCTGCAGAGTTAGTGTGAAATGGCTTGCAGGAGGGATATTTGGAGTCATATAGAAAAGGTGTTTCCAAAGGTCAGGATGGCTGTGGAGCTGAAATGGAGCAAAGCCATGGCAAGTTGTGGTTCCCAGGCCTGAAAGTGGGCAAGGAAAAATGTTTAGGAGAGAACCTTAGAATGCCTCCAAAACTAAGAACAATGGCAACTCAAATCCACATCAGACTGGTGTATGAGGAGTCTTATTTAGTGCTCAATAAGACAGGAGTGAAATAAGAAGTTGGAACATACATGAATCAAAACACAAAGATTTCTAGATTTTATCTTCTGTGTCTAAGCTTTTGCATTTTTATTGGGCATGCTGTCTTCCAGTTTTCCTCAGAACTCTCATTTATAAAAACTGTAATACTGACTGTATAGACGTTGCATGAAAGGAGCACACCCCCAACTTTTCAACCCAGCATCTAATAATATTAGAAGAAGGAAACTGAAGGAGGACCTGGGTTATATCCCATCGTGACAGAATAATACACCTGGAAATTTGTTGAAGTTCTGTGTTCATCTATATTCGTATACACTTGACATTGTATTATATTAAGTAGCCATGTATGCTCATTATATCACAAAATAGTGTATCAAATCCCTAACATACCCCCATATTTGTCTGGCGGAATGGATCATGGTTCCAGAAGCATGGGTTAAAATTTTGTGTCTCATCCTTGCTGGTTTCATGACCTTAGTCAACTTAGTTACCATATCTGTATCCTGCATAGAAAAAAGAGAGAGAGGACACTTAGGAAGTTTGCTCTAAGTATTAAGTGAGAGAATGCGCCCAACACTTACTAAACCCTCAATACATTGTGCTGGTACAAGTTGTTGAAGTTGGTATTTTGATAAATTGTAATAATAGTCGCTTCTAGACCTCTTGAAAGAGCAGAGTGCCTCTGAATGCTAAGTTCAATTTTCCCTGCTCACAAGCAGATGCAAAGCTGGGGAGAGTGATGGCAAGCAAACCCTCACAGGTTTAATGATATAATGTCTACATAATAGGCTACTTAGTCAATATGATTCCTAACCTCTGCCTTTGCCGTGAATGGTCCTTCTACCCTTCCTTCCTTATTTGAGGTCCTCAGATTTCCTTCTTTTAATGCCCTTGAAAATGTTGAGATTCTCCTTTAATTGACTGAGTTCATTTTTAGTTTCTATTATTGCTATTCTCATCTTAGGCATCATGTCAAAAAAGAATTTCAGGGTTTTATTTTTTTTTCCTGAGACTAGCAAAAGTACAGGTAGTGTTTGCATTACTTTGTGCATATGTATTACTTTATAGAGGCAGGATCTTTACCTCAAATCCTTTTCCCCAGTCCCTGACCACAGAGTAAGGAAGGACATGAGCAACCTTTATCAGGGCCTTTCAGAAGGCCTCGGTGTGCCATTACCTGGGCCATGTCACCAGAGTCTCATCATTGCCCCTTGAGTGAAGATGAAAATGAAAACATAACACTAGGGCAACTTTTCAGCATAGATCAAAATGATGAGGATGTGTTACCCTGGAAATAAGAGTCAGAATAAGTGGGGAATGGCTATAATGAATGTGGAATTCCTCAGAAAATTCAAGAATAGGACAACCAGAGGGCAACTCTTCTTTGAAGTGGTTTTAATGACAGAGTTTGAAAACAAGTAAAGAGCATCCTTTTTATCCATATTTTGTCTGTTTTCCTTTGCATTTTTACCTAACACAGAATGGCTGAGGGGACTTGTGAGTATATCCACCACCTTAGTGACCTTCATAATTATAAATTTTTATATCTTTTATACTAAAAAATAAATATCCATCCAAAGTAACATAGTGCTCATTCACAATGCAATTTGGATTCTAGACATTTAAGTACTTTATCTTGGCCTCAGTGATTTCTTCTGCACCTAGTGAAATGTTTCAATGCATTTGGCTGCAGAGCAAAGATAGAAAGACCTGGAAGTTTACAAGGATTGAAGGGTACAGTCAACATCTACCACATCCAATTTTAGGTTGGATATTAGGGGCCTTGGTTCAGGAGAAGCTAGACCTGGCAGCTGTCACCTATGTTAGTTTGATTGGGCTGCCATAACAAAATATCATAGACTGGGTGTCTTAAACAAAAGACATTTATTTTCACAGTTCTTGACACTGGAAGTCTGAGTTCAGGGTGCCAGCATAGTTAGGTTCTGGTGAGGGCTCTCCTCCTGGCTTGCAGATGGCTGCCTTCTCAGGGTGTCCTCACATGGTAGAGAAAGATATTGAGCAAGCCCTCTGGTGTCTCTTCTCATAAGGATACTAATCCCATTATTAGGGTCTCAGCCTCATGACCTCATCTAAACCTAATTATTCCCTGAAGGCCCCATCTCCAAATACTATCGCACTGGGGGTCAGGGCTTCAACATATAAATTGGGTAGTGGGAAGACACATTTCAACTCATAACATCACCCAACTCTAGGTTCAATGTTGTCTCATTATTTTAAAATTTGAGTCTGTCCCCAGACAACAAGGCCAGCTTTGACTCCTTTTTGATTGATGTTCTGGGTCATTACTAAAACAGTCTTGCTGGTAATTCTGCTTTAACTTTGATGGTACCATTTTTTTTTTAACAAACTTTATTTCAGAGCAGTTTTAGGTTCACAGCAAAATCGAGAGGAAGGCGGAGAGAGTTCCCATATACCTCCTGTCCCCAACAACACACACACAGCTTCACCTCTCCTGCTGTCAACTTCCTGCATCAGAATTGTACAATTGTTACAATTGATGAACCTACATTGAAACATTATTATCACCTATAGTCCATAGTTTCCATTAGGGTCAATGCTTGTTCCTGTACATTCTATGGGTTTTGACAAATGTATAAAGACTTGTATCCACCATTATAGTGTCACACCTAGTAGTTTCACTGCCCTAAGAATCTTCTGTGCTCTTCCTATTCATCCCTCCCTCCCTCCTAACCCATGACAATCACTAATCTTTTTACTGTCTTCCTAGTTTTGCTTTTTCCAGAATGTCATATAGTTGGAATCTTACAGTAGATAGCCTTTCAGATCTAATGGCTTTTCTTTCACTAAGTAATATGCATTTAAGATTTCTCCATGTCTTTTCATGCTTTGGTAGCTTATTTCCTTTTTCCACTAAACATGGTGCCATCTTCAATTATCTGAATTCCTGCCCTTGACTCCAAGTGTCTTAGTGCCTAGGTTTGGCTCCACATGCTATCTATTTAAATGTCTAAGTCTCCATTTCTGCTGCTTATATTTTGATCTTCAGCTTCTGGATCTTGAGTTCTGCCTGACTTCCTTCTCAGATTCATTCCTCTCTCATCTTAGATCTGTGTTCCTTTATGCTGCATAGCTTATTATGTCATTGGTAACTGTCTTTTGTGCCAGTCCCTAGCTTCTGCTCAACCCCACATGTTTTGCTTGGCCTTCTCTTAAGTGGTATCCAATCCTTCCCTGAGCCCTGGAATAGCTGTTGACAGGCAGGGAGCAGCAGTAGTGCTATAGAAGTACTTACGCATATGTTTCTTGCTAACTTAAGCCTGTTCGAGCAGTACACTAGAATCTTGCTTCTGACAAGAGAATCCTGCAATGGCAACATGAATACTATTTAAAAACTCACACACACACACACACACACACACACACACACACCCCTAACAAAACATTAAAATAGTAATTGAGATTATTAAAATATATTTTTCTTATGTCCTTTTCAAAATGGAATTGGCATTAAAGACATTTGAAATGTGTCAATTAACACTGCTTTTCTTTATAAAGCAAATGATTCATACTTAAAATGTATTACTCTACCTTCTGCCCCTCCTGCAGCCTACCAACCTGGAGGTTAAATAGGTAGAAAATTTAAATAGTGGAGAAGAATGTTGGTAGCTTCAAGGATGTTCAAAGTGTAGCAAGGTAGAGAGAATCTGACAGCTGAAGCTTAACTCAATATCACTAATATGATTCAGGCTTATTTGATTCATCTCCTTTATCACCATATGTAACTGTATTTTCTTTCTGCACAGAGAAATAAAATGGCATGATGCAGAAAGAACTCCGTTAAAAGCATTGGAACATTAACCTTTCTTGGTTTCTCTCTCCTCATATAAATGACATAATTGCATATTGTGTTTAAATCCACGTGGGAAGTCTGAAGGGATGTTGTGAGAATTCATCTGCAAGTTGTTAAACCTCTATGAAAATACGGAAAAGCACTGTATTGGGAAAACTCTGCAACAATAACAAAACACACTGTTGTTTTACTGCAGCAGATGCAAATAAAATGGATGGGGAAACCAGGCTTGACAAAACATAGTGATGGGTCAGGAAGATGAGATGGTTGTCATCTTTAGTATCTAAAAGACTCTCTTTGCACGCTCTTTGATGAGAATGGAGACAATGCCAGGCATTATTAATGTATGTCATAATTATGTTCAACTACATTCACAATGACCTGTTCTTGACCCATATCTGAGAACAATTTGGTGGTTGTTTCCTTTCTGATGGGATGGTTGAAATCTCTTTTGTTTTTCTTTAAGTGAATGGCTAAATTCATCGTTACAGAAATACAGATGATTTAGTTTAACATGAAATGAATAAAAAATAAACCTAATCCCACCTTGATTGCTGTCAGCATTTTAATAGTAGAAGTGACTTTTTATGCCTGGCATTGGACAAGATCTGAGGGAGAAAAAACTTAGAATGCAGGGCTGAAGAAGCATCATGCTGTCTGTCCCCAGGGAGAAAAGAAATCTGTCCTCATTTTGAAATAGCTCTTGGCTATGGCTCAGAAACACTCAATGGGCAGCTTTAGAAATTGTAGCACTTTCTTTGACAAAAAGAAAAACCACTGTATGTCTGTGTACTGTTAAAGGAGATAGAGGAGGTTAAGAAGTAGATACAGAAAGTATTATGTACAAGCATCCATATTATGAAATATTCTTTTTTTATTAGAAAAAAGTATGCATTCTTCCATAAATCTAATTTTAAAATTTTTTGAAAAGTTTCTGATTTTAATTATTTTGTTCTATATTCAGGTCATATGTTTGTATTCTGCAATAAAGAGTATAAAATATATATATATATATATATAAATTAATACACATTCGAGAGAACTTGCACTACAGTCACAATTTTTTTTGTCAGTATTCTGCAGTCTTCAAAAATCTCTTTAGCTAAGGTGAATAGTCCTTATTTTGCAGTGGAGGTGAGCTGAAATAAATGTCTGCTGGTTTCTATCAATTATATCTTCTTTTCCCACATTCGATGGTCTAATCTTAGATTTCCCTCACCTTTATATTGCAGGCAATAGAAACTGCCAAACTTAAAATCAGTTTTGAACTTGAAGAGTTTACATAGGGTCAATGGAGTTGGAAGTTAGGATTGTTTTCTATTTAAAAGGTATTTCAGCTAGGGAAAAAAAATCAAAAATTTTTTGTTGTCTGTCTGAAACAGTATAAGAAAACTGACATATAAATGAGACATTTCAACAATATTCTGAGATAAAGCCCTGAAAATTAGCTTACCCTCAAACTGTTTTGGAGTTGTCCTTCTGGAATGAAACAACTTTTATACAAAAGAGGGGAACACTATTGTGAAGATTTCTTGATGGTGTTGATGTGAACACCAAACATATAATCAAAATATGTATATACTCAGCCAGAGGGCTGCCTGTCTTAAGTCAATAGATTTCATTTTTAAAATGGTATTTTTTTTGTTATCAGAGTCATTCCCAGGGACTAATGTGAAAAACAAAACAAAACAAAACAAAACAACGACGACAACAACAGAAACATGAACTATGCTTAACAACCACCGAGTAGCCTGAGGATCTGAAGACCCTTCCACTCACTCTTCATTTCTACTTTGAAAGATTGTTTTAGGAGGGTCGAGTGATATAAAATGCGCAAAATACCTAATAGAGTATCTGCATATAACAGTTATTCAGTAAAAATGTTTTTCTTCTTCTATATTCAAAGAGGCAAAAAGACCCAGAAAAAAAATTAATAATTACAGTTATCTATTTTATCTTTTCTCCTCGCTCGTTAGATTTTATGAGAGAAAGTTGAATATGGATCACCTATCAGAGCCTTGAACAGCCACATGTAAGTAATCTTGGGGAAGAAGAGAAATAATTAGAATATAGAGATGTCTCAATAATTTTGCTTTGGTGACAGTAAAGGGGCCAATGAACTGCTGGAAGATGCACTAAAAGCCTTGGCCCTTCTGAGTGCAATTGGGTGGAGTTGCTATCTTCTGGAATTGTTGTTTAAGGACCAGCAACACAGAACTTTTCCTCTAGCAATTTGTCATCTGCAGTGATAACTATTCCTTTTGTCTAACCATTAAGCTCTTTCTCTGAAATACAAAAAAAAAAGGTTTAAATTTCCAAAGTTGGAGAAATATTTTTGTGATATTTTAACTAAAAATTATGAATGGACATAAAAATATAGGATAAACGTCATCTTTGTGAGTAAACTTGTTATATTTTGCATAGTAGTCATGGGATAATAAGTCTTTATCAACAAATATTTGTTTCCAACTTATTTTCTGCCAGGCCCTGGGAATAGAGTAATAAATAAGAAAAACATGGCCCCACTCTTAAGTGTTTATATTCCAGTGAAGCAGGTAGTGATACATGCTAAGAAGAAAATGAAACAAGATAACACGATGAGCTGTAGCAAGTAGGATTGGATGGCCAGGGAAGCCACTGGGGAGAAAGTAACCATGGAACAAAGACCTGAAAGATAAGAATAACTCAACTACATGAAGATTTACTGTGAGATCACTCTCAACAGAGGGAACAGGAAATCTAGCATAGAGAACACATGAATGCAAAGGCTATGAGGCTGGAAGAAGCATAGCATATTCAGAGAAAAGGAGTAAGAGCCAATGTAACTAGACCATTGTGAGAGAGGGTGAGATTGGTAAGAAATGAAGTTAGAGAGGCCAAGCACAGTGGCTCACACCTGTAATCGCAGCACGTTGGAAGGCCAAGGTGGGTGGATCACCTGAGGATGGGAGTTCTAGACTAGCCTGACCAACATGGAGAAACCTCATCTCTACTAAAAATACAAAATCAGCCAGGCGTAGTGGTGCATGCCTGTAATCCCAGCTACTCGGGAGGCTGAGGGAGGAGAATCGCTTGAACCCGGGAGGCAGAGGTTGCGGTGAGCTGAGATCATGTCACTGCATCACTCCAGCCTGGGCAACAAGAGCAAAACTCTGTCTCAAGTAAATAAATAAATAAATAAATAAATAAAATAAATAAAATAAATAAAATAAATAAATAAATAAATAAAATAAAGTTAGAGAGATGAGTAGCCTTTGTAGGATCATTTTAAAAGTTAAGCATTACAAAAATTCATTGAATAGGGCAAGTATCAGAGGGTTTTAAGCAGAAAGATGTAATAATGGAAGATCACTTTGATGCTACCTGGAGAATGAATCACAGGGGCAAGAGCAGAAGCAATAATACAATTTTATATATTATAGCAGTGGCATAGGTTGAGATGATAGTGACATGGGCCAAGGTTATGATGATAAACATGACAAGATGGGCAGATTTTGGATATATTTTGGGGGGATAGCTAGAAGGATTTGGTGATGAATTGGCGATGGGGGTGGTAATGAGACAAAGAAAAGAATCACGAGTGACTCAGAATTTTGACTTGGACTATGGCATAGATGTTGCTGCTGCTTACTAATATAGGGTAGACTAAAAGTAAAAGTTTGGTGTGCAGCTGTAGTTCTGCTTGGAACATGGTCCTATTAGACCTTCAAATGAAACTGAGTATAAGAGCTAGGGCTCATGAGAGAGATAAAAACTGAAAATAGGTATTTAGCATATAGACAGTATTTAAAAGCCATGACGCTAAATTAGTCCACTTGGGAGTATAAAAGATCTAAAACTGGATCACTCCAACATTTAGACATCAGCAAGCCGAAAAAAGCCCACAAAGGAGACTGAAAAGGAACAACAGAAAATTATGATACAATAAATATTAAAATAGTAATTATAAAAGCATTTCAAAAAAGTGAAGTTGGTCTACAGATGTGAAATGCCCTTTATGAGTGTAGAAGGTAAAGACACAAACAGCAGCAAAGGATTTGGCAACACAAAGGAGGCTGGTGATCTTGCAAGAGCAGTTTTGGTGAAATAGAGGAGATAGATGCTCAAGTGGCATGTGTGAAAAAAATGAGGTAGGAAAATAGAAACA
The DNA here is from genome assembly GCF_000001405.40 of Homo sapiens. Taxonomy (NCBI): domain Eukaryota; kingdom Metazoa; phylum Chordata; class Mammalia; order Primates; family Hominidae; genus Homo; species Homo sapiens. The sequence goes on from NC_000006.12 coordinate 101,384,895, forward strand.
AGGTCAGAGGACTCAAGAACTTTTACTGTGAAGGTGAGTAAAGAAATGGGGCTGTAGCTGAAGAGAGACATGGGATGGAAACTTATTTTCTTCTTTTCTTAAGAAGAAGATGCTATATAACAGGATTAGAATGCTTGAGGATGTGAGAGAGTATAGAATCCAGAACACAAGTTCAAAAGAGAAAGCAGGGTCATGCCATCTTTTGGAAGATCAAGTATGTATGTGTCATGATATAAGAATAGATGTCAACAGAGCAATGCACTTGCCTTTGGCCAGATGATACCTGATACAACAGGAATTTGTTTTCTCACAGTTTTGGAGGCCAAAAGTCCAAAATCAAGTTGTTGGCAAATTGGTTCCATCTGAGGGCTCTGAGGGAAAAATTGTCTAAACTCGTCTTAGCTTCTGGTGGTTTCTGGCAACCCCGATGTTCTCTGATTTGTAGATGCATCATTCCTATCCCTATCCCTATTCCACCTTCACACGGCATTCCTCCTATATTTTCCAGTGTCTAAATTTTCCTCTTATTATAAGGACACAAGTTATATTGGGTTTACAGCTCACCTAATTTAGTATACCCTCTCCTTAACTTGATTACATCAGCATAGATTCTTTTTCCAAATAAGATCTCATTCACATTCATAGGTTCTAAATAGACAAGAATTTGGGGGAGACACTCACTATTCAGCCCCATACAGCCCAGTTGTTTAATTTTCTCTAGAAATGTTCAGCTGCCTGGGTCCAGATACTGAGTAAGTAAATGATTGAGTTTAATCAAAGAATGTTTATAAAAATCATTGTGGTATTGCTTTTTTATACATTAACTAACTTTAGGCACAAAATGATTAAATTAGTATTTTTAGTGCTTTTTGCTAAGTGAACAAAACTTATCACTTCTTTTGTAGGAAGATTTATTTTTAAGTTAGATCGTGAGTTTTGCATGTTTCTGATGACTTTGCATGAAGGATAAAGCAAAGACCTGTATATCTTCTGTAGCTTAGCTCTTGATTTCAGATGTGTTTTATCATCAAGTTTGTGGTGAAAGTCCAGAGGCCTGAGTTCTACCCCTGTTCTACCAGTGACTATAATGTGATACTTGTTCTGCCAAGAAATCGTTACTTTTGTAAATTACAGGGACCTCATAGATTTCAAAATAAATTCTTGCTCCAGATTTTACAAGTGAGAAAACGAAAGCATAAGAGAATTAACTGACTTACCAAAGATATTACGTTTAAATGCATGTTTAGTTAATGGAACTTTTAGTCCGGTGTTGTTTTCGCTATGCCATAAAATTATTCTGTACTTTTTTTTCTTCATTTATAAAATGAGGATAATATATACGTCTTGACAGTTTTTAGTTATACATATAAAATGGGAGAAATAAGTGAAAAATATTTGTAAATTCTAGATTCTACCCCCTTATAGCTGAGACTAACTTCCATGATTCTGGCTTTTGACAACTGGAGCTCAAGACCTAATTTCTTTACTGTAATGTTATAAATATAGTGAAATGCATGTAAGTATAAAACCTATGTACTGTTTTAAATGAGTGAATATTGAAACATAATATAGAAATTACTATGTTTCTTCTGATTTATCCACCAAAATATCAGTTTCTAATTATCATATATTATTACTTTCCATATTATAGATTATTTTCTCCTATTTTCCTAATTATGTATGTATCTAGTTTTGTAGAAATAGCTCTAAAATTATCAATGTGTTGGCTTAGAAGAGTAAATGAAGCATCAGGGACAGTGTGTTTGACTACATTTCTAGTTTCTAAACAAGTCTTGGTTGGATAACTCTGTTTATGAAGTGGAAATGTGGTCAACAAACTCTTAGTCCCTACAGTCCACAGAGAACACTAAATCTGCTTCTGATTTTTATATGATCAACTACATAAAATATTGATGCAGTTAAGTGATGCATTGCAATTGTCCATCTCTCTGTACTCAAATTTAACATGTGTTTACAAAGGGATGCTGATCTGGAAGCAGATTGAAACAGTTATGTATTAAAAGTTTGTTAGGACAACAGATTGCAAAATAAAAGTTTATTTTCTGATTTTCACACTTTTCATTATCATACAGAGTATGGGCCTACATTTTTATTCTAGCTTCCTCTCTGTTCATTTTCCTCTCATTTTAAACTTATTGCCTCATCCATTAATTTGCAGAATTAAAAACCATAACTGAATTCCATTACCTCTGTTGTGTACTCTCCAACAGTGCACATCCACACTAGGCCATAGCAACCCTGATAGAGCAGCCCGTGTGATCCTTCTGTAGGAAGGAATGTGAAATGCAAGTGGTTAGCAGAGTGTCCATATCCTTAATGAATGTTAGCCCTTGAAGCTGAGCTCACCTGCAATAAAAGATTTGAAAATTTTCTAATTAGAGTCAGTACATTAAATTAGAGGAAGAAAATCTATTGACACCCTGGTCAGTTTCTAAAGGCCCTCCTTAGTAGCTTTCTGCAACATGGATGACCCCTCCAGGAAAAACTTTTTAAGGAAACAGTCTTAATTCTGTATCAAAATGACTTCTTCTGTGGTAAACTGAATCAATCACAATTTGCTGAGACTAGATCTTAAGTGTTCTCGTTACTAGAGAAGGAAGGAAGGAAGGAAGGAAGGAAGGAAAGAAAGAAAGAAAGAAAGAAAGAAAGAAAGAAAGAAAGAAAGAAAGAGAAACAGAAAGAAAGAAAGAAAAAACCTAACTGTGTAAGGGATGAGTATCTTAATTAGCTGACTGTAGTAAAATTTTCACTATGTATATGTATATCAAAACATCATGTTGTACAGCTTAAATAAATAGAAATGAAAATGAATATAAATCTTGGTTTGACATTCTGAACCAGTTTACAAAGTTGGTTTGAATCCTTTGACATATCCAGTGAATTCTATACTGTTATTGGAACAATGCATGAACACAACACTCTTAGAAATCATCTCCAGTGTCTATTTTGCCCGTCTCCACTGGACAGTTACATAGTCAATTTTAGTAACTAATAAGCATAGGTTGTCTCATGGAAGGAATGACTAAAAAGACATTATCTTTGTGGATGAAGGGTTGTTACCAGAAGTGATTTTGTCTTCAGTTCTCGCTTACTGCAAAAAATGCTGTTGGCATGTGGTATCATTTAGGATCTGTTGAAAACACTGTTAGGGGATCGGTTCAAGTTTTGGGAGTTTGCTTGAACTCTGATAAAAGCTGAAAGCAAGATCTCTCCACTTACTTTTAAGCTGGCTTTCTCTAAGAGAAAGCTTCTTCTGATTTCTGGCTCCAAAGCCTTTTCTCAGGGGATTACTGAGGGGGGAAAATCTACTCAATCTGAGCTGCTCCATATTCTCTAGCCCTTCATATTCCAGTATAATTCATAGAGATTTATCTCTTGCATCTTAGAAACAACATCTGAAATCCTTTCTGATTTGAAACAGAGAGCTGTTATAGATATGACTTTTTTCCCACTTACCTTCTCTGATGTACCAGCAAGAGCAATAAACTACAGAGTTGAATACTAGCTCTATCTTCACTAGCTGTGCATCCATGGGCAAATTACATGAACTCTTTCTGTTTTAGTTTACTCATCTTTAAAATGAGAATTTTGCATTTGATAAGACCATTCAAATAATTAAATGTAGTATTTTATGCAAAAGTATGCCTGCCTAGAATGTAGCAGATTTTAGACAAATAATAATTTGTTTCTCCGTGAATCCTTGCATTAAGCGCCCAGAAAAAAAGTGGAGAGCATAGGTGGGTAGAGAATAGTCCTGAGGATATATATTTGGGAGTTTCCTTATTATTTGACAAATTAGATCCTGTGCTTTGAGAAAATGTATGCTTCTGCCCCTGTATGCCTTCCCATTTCTCTCCACTTTTCCATACTCCTAATGATAACTGCTTCTTTACTTCTTCTTTGGAGGTAGGGTGGGGAGTCTAGCACAAAATATTTTCTGGTACAACATACCTCTCTAAGGGATGCCACTTGTGTATGTTCTGCTGATACATTCCTGATTTTCTATTAGTACTTTCTAAAGAAGTGAAAGCAAGAATATCATAATCTTGCTAACAGAAGTTACCTTGTGGTTTTAGAAATGTCATAGAAGGTGTATTGTCTCAATTTTTTTTTCTCATTGTTGTGTCTTCATTTCCCTGGAACATAGTTGGTACTCAATAAATACTTGCTAAAAGAATAAGTTATGACCGGGCATGGTGGCTCATGCCTGTAATCCTAGCACTTTGGGAGGCCGAGGTGGGTGTATTGCCTGAGCTCAGGAGTTCAAGACCAGCCTGGGGAACAGGGTGAAACCCTGTCTCTGCTAAAAATACAAAAAATTAGCCTGGCATGGCAGTGGGTGCCTGTAATCCCAGCTATGTGGGAGGCTCAGGCAGGAGAATCTCTTGAACCCAGGAGGCGGTGGTTGCAGTGAGCTTGAGATCGTGCCATTGCACTCCAGCCTGGGCAAGAGAACGAGACTGTGTCTCAAAAAAAAAAAAAAAAAAGTAAGTTATTAAAAACTGGAATTACTTTTACATCGATCTTATAATTAGCTACTTCAATTGTTTTGAAGTAGGACTTGGAGATTTAGGAATTGGTAAGGGAAGAGGTAACAGTAGTGGAGTAGATGGGGGGAGATAATGCCAAGTATTGTAACCTAAAGAGCCTAAGATTTATACTGGTAGAAAGGAAGAATGAGAGTTCTTGAAATGTTCAAAGATTCCTAAGTCATCAAGGTAGAATGGCCCTGACTGTTGGACAAGTATCCAACTACATTTTATTATCCTTTCACACTCCTGATAAAATGCTCCTGATAAAAATGCCACATTTTCTCCATTCTCCTTAAACATCTATTACTTTCTCCCTACTCAAGACTCTTAGCTTGCTTTTTACTTTTACGTCATGAAGAAAACACAAAGAACAACAACAGGACCTCGTATCCTCTTTCTGTTCCTATTCTTCTTCTCCTTCCCTTCCCTTACTGAAAAATTCAGTACTAAATTATTTAAGTGAGACCAAGCAAAACAGTCATCTGCGTGAGAGTTAGGATAGTGGAAGGCAGAGAGTGGTAAGGAAGGTATCTATGGAGCAAAGTAGCCCAGCATAGGGCTTTGGAGCGCATGTAGGAAAAATAGACCCTCAACACCACACTTAAAAACTATTTGACATCTGCATTATATACTGTGCCTCCCTTCCTATTACTAGGGTTTATTGGTCCTTCTCCTATTCCAAAGTAAACCCCTCTTCTTGTACTAGGTCCCATCCTTTCTTGACTAATCAAGGACATCCGTTCATTTCTTCTTCAGCATGTTTATGTCCAATTATGGCTAAAATGACCTGAGGGAATGGGAATAAGTGGGAAGCAAGATACCGGGTCTCTAGTCCTAGAACTATTTTTAACTCACTCTGTGACTCTTTAAGTTCTCATTGTCTAGATTTTCTCATCTCTAAAATCACATTGTTGGAATAGATTGGTGGTTCTCAGCTTAGGGTGAAGAAGCTCCTCACCAGCCCATGATGGCCTTCAAGGCATCTGTGCATCTCCTATTATTGCATGTAAAATTTTGAAGTCATTGCACATGTGTTCATTTTGTTTTCAGATGAGAGAAAGGTCTGTGAAAACTGAACTAGAGTAGATTTCCTTGAAATGTCTTTAAGTCTTGACTTCATATAAGTCTAAGTTTTGAAAGAGACTACAAGAGACGGCCTGATGCTGTTCTGCACAGTTAGAAGGCAGTCTCAGTTCTGCCACATCCTGAGTATGTCACTCCTTTTCTCTCACTTTGGTTTTTACCATCTATAAAATGAAGGTGTTTAATGAGATGATCCAAAATAATACTTTTCAATTTTACATTCAGTTCAACAAAATCAAGCCAAAACAAACAAACATCCTGGTAGTTAGCTTGAATTCAGACTGGTCTTTGCTGTGTCTTCAGAAATTGAAATATTGAGCTGCTAATGTTCTAAGAGCACTTTGAGAGGGAAGAAAGAGAGGGCGGGAGCCGGGCAAGAGAGAGTAAGTAGGGATGTTGTTCCTGCATAAGACTGTAGCTGAAGGACTTAGCAACCTTCTAAATTTTAGAAGATTAAACCTTAAGAGTGATTGGAAATAAAAGAAAAAAAAGCTTCATGGTTGCCCGAGAAGATACTTGAGATCTCATTCCTTAAATGTTTAACTTCCTAAATCCTAAAATAAATCATGAAAAATATTTCTTTATAGCATTGAATTATTTTTGAAGGGTTAAATAGATTGTGTGGTGTCTAATGCTCCCTTGTTAGTCTGTTTTTCTCATTGGAATCTAGATAATATTTTGCTATTGAGAAAATTAATTTGTCACAGCATGCATAATTTTGATTTGTTCTACACTCCAGCTCTCTCCTATTTTCTCCTATGCTGTTGTTGGGACTTGTTATTTCTGTCTTTACAAGTGTGTCCTGTTTGCTTCAAAAAAATAGATTCGTGACAAGGCTCTCAAATCATACACAGCACTAACAGGAAGTTGTTAGTAAGCCTCTCCTTTCCCAAGTACAATGTGGGTCTGGGGGCAACAGTGTGGAAAGCGGAAGGTCTATCCCAGTACCATTCTTTATCCAGCACCTACTGCATGCCAGACTCTATGCTAAACACTTAATGTCAAATTAGACACACTCTGTTCTACACTCTCAGAGTTGTCACAAGAGCTGGGTGCCTTCACTCAGGGATTTCCACTGGAATCTGCTCGTGCTGGTGTTTTGCTCCTTTCTGCCTGGAAGTGGGTGGATGTAATCATGACAAGGAGAGAGTCTTTAGCCAGTAGACAAGTTATCTTCCTTACTCCCATGGAGGAATGGGACAGAATGGGGCATTTTTTCGGAGCCTGGCCCAAACTCGGCTGTGCCTCGAGGGCCCATTAGGCTGCAGGTCACAGCAGCTGGAGCCCAGGCGCCCAGAACCGGTCACGCGTCTGTGCTGCCCGCTCCAGGATGCACAATAGAGTCATTGACTATTTATTTACTGGGTAGAACAAGGCTGCTGTTGACTTAATTAAGGGAGCCGCCCAGCCACCCCTGGGATCTTCAAATGACTAATGGACTCTCCATTGCCACTAACTCATCTCTCCTTAACATAAGTCCCCAGTCCCCCTCCCCCCAACCCTGCCCCACCCAGGAATGCTCAGTAAGCATGTTGTGGGGAACGGGGCGCAGAGAGTCCTGGATGGTGACCAAGAGGGAAAGACTGGCGGTTTTGGCAGGACTGAATTTCTGTGTTTCAGAGCTATTCTGAGCCAGGCGCTAGCCTCAGGGTGTGGAACATGGCCCTGCTGCGCCAGGGTCCGGCGAGGGCTTAACTTTACTAGGGCTGCAGTGAAGGAGGAAGCAAAAGGGCAAGTTCTGGTCTCCAGCTCAGACAACGGGTCCCTGGGGACTCAGAGCCTCTCTAATTCCCGGACCTCGGAATTAGATAGATAGTGGAGAACCACCAGGGACTGGAACTGCTAGGGGACTGCAGAGCCGTGGAATCCCCCCTGGCCCCTTCTTTATGCAGCCCGTTTGAAATGGTCTCTTGAGCCCAGTGCGCCTGGCCTGTTCCCGCTTAGCCTCACTTAAATCTCCTCGCGAATCTGAGCTGGCCAACTTCCTCTGGGGGAAACTGCTAAACTCAGCTCCAGTTAATATTGTAGGGCTGAGGATAAAATAGCAACGGTTTTGAATAGATGTTGACTTTTCCGACCCAGAGGAGCGGAACTCAGGGATTGTTTGCAAAAGCTAATCGTTTCCACAGTGAAGCAGGGAGAGCCTGGTGCGCTCACCGCCGCCAGCCCCTCCCTGGAAGCCAAGCTGCGGGAAGACTCTGGGACTCAGTTGCCCCTCCCCATCTCTGGCCTTTAAAAGAGTCCTCCCGAGAACTTGGACCAGTGGCCGCCAAACCAGGGCTGCTTCCCAGACTCCTGTCTCCAATCTTGGAGTCTGCGACCTCAGGTTCGGCGCCCACTAGATCTCGAATCCAACTTCTTTCTGAAATGTGTTTAGGTTGAGAGTTCCGGGGCCTGGGCGGGAGTTTGGTGGGGAGAGGGGAGTCTGCTATTTAAGGCGCCATACATACACAGAGACAGCCCGCCCGACCTCCTAACACTCAGGAAAAGTCAATTTCCAAGCATCTGTTCTCAATAATGGTGGCAGGGAGCAGGGCACTGTGACTCCCAGCATCTGAGGGAATACCCGCAGCAGCGCTACCAGAGCGCATTTGCTCTATGCGCTGGAGGTCGGGGTGGGAGGGTGCGCAGATCAAGATCTTTTTTTGCGAACCTCAGGGAAATGACCGTAGTTGGACTAAGAGGTCCACTTTGGAGACTACCAGCAGCCCTCCAAGCCCTGGCAGTGGAGAAGTTTCGTTGCTATGGTTTCGGAGAGGCATAAAAGCCATCACCCAGAAGCAAATGTGTTTGGGCTCCTTATATGTGTTGTCACCACCCAAGGCTAGGCAAATTCCTCGGCGCTTTGCATGCATCACTCACTCCCTGACAGAGCATCTTGGCCTTAGTCTCCCCATCCCAGGAGGCGGGTGTGCGCTAAGGGAGCGAAGTCCAGCCGGAGGCTTCGTAACATCCAAGTCTAGGGACACCAGGAATTCTCTCGCTCTAGCTCCTGTGGTCCAGGGGTGGGAGATGCCCCCGAGTGGCCGCGGCGGCCAGGAGCGTGCAGGGGCCACGGGGAAAGGAGCGCGGCGCCTTTAAAGCAAGAGGCGAGGAACCCCCGCCAGGAGGCGTGTCTGTCTCTGCCGCCGCCGCCGCCGCTGCTGCTCCTCGGTCACCGTCTTCGCCGCTGCCGTCACTCGCGCTCGGCGCCGGCGGCTGCGCTGGTCGGTCTGGTAGCTGGGGACTTTTCCGCCCGACCTCCTCCGGCTGCTCCTCCCCGAGGACCACCCCACCCCCTCCCCGCCCACCTCACCCCTAGCTCCAGGTAAGGACTCCCCGGCTGTGGGCTGCACTCCGGGCTCCTTCACGAGGTGTTTGTTTTCAAGAGGACGGGAGGGACTGCGGGTGGGCGAGGGGCATTTTCCACCTGGAGAGAAGGAAGAAGGCGAACAGTAGCGCTGCGGACGTCCGTGCGCTCGGGGCGCCCGCTGGACGGATTCACTGCGAGTCTTTGTCGGGCTTATCTCAGCCAATTCCCGTCAAGCATGCAAGTGGCTCTGTTGGCTGCAGTCGCCTATGTTCTCCACATAAAATGATTTAAGAAGTGGACGTGTCAGGAAGTGGCCTCAGCTACGGGGACTCACGCGAGGCGAAGAGAATGAGACAGATGGCAAGAAGCTGTGTGGCTGCCGGCGGGTCTGACGAACTCCCCATCCCTCCTTCTGCCCACCCATCCTTCCATTAACCCTACTCCTTAGTTCTGCGCTGAGGAAGTATATTTATTTTAACCGGCACCCGTATTAAGAGCTTCTGAAAAAACTTGGAGGGCGTCCCATTAGGGTAAGGAGTGGGCAGTGTTACCAGGGTGGATCATAAACCTCAAGAACTTTTAACGAACCACATCCTCTGATATTTTTACCTTTAAGGAGATAGAGTTTCTTTACCAAACAACACGACCGAGCTGAGGCTCCTTAGAGAATAATTTCCAATTTAGGCAATGGGGAATATTAGAAAACTTACTATTAGTAGCCTTTTGGTAATGCACAGATTATCTTCTATCGTTTATTCATCTCCATACTGTAAGTATTCTGTCATCAGAAATTATCTTATGGATTGATGATTATTTTCATTTCACGAGAGATGATTGGTTCATTTGAGTCTTAATTAGTCAGTTTAGTTACTGAAATAAATGCAATTGTATTTCAATCTTGATTTGTCTTAGTTCATTACTTTCTAACTTTATAGAGTCTATTCCTGTAACCACCAAGGCAGCCTATCAACTTCCAGTGGCCTTAAAAACTTTTGAGTCAAACAAACAACAAAAAATTGAAATGCACAAGAGCAAGGTGATAGAGAATTGAGCAATGTTTGGAAGTCTTATCTGTTTGTTTTCTCCTATTTAAACCCATTGAAAATCACACAGGCTGAAATTTAAAAAAAAAAGTTCTGGGATATGTAAATTTATTCCACTTCAATTTGTTAATTAAGATACACTTATTTTAGTGTCTAAAAATTAATCAAAACTCTAAATGTCATTAATCATCAATGCAGCAGAATGTTGCTGGAACAGCTGATAATGTGTTCAGAATCATAAGGGATACCACAGCATGCATAGTTAAGAAGAGTGAGTTGCAAGTATGCAACAGTGTGATTTCAACTGAAACCTGACTCAGTCCTGACTTTATTCTCTGAGATCTTTAATGCCATGTATAAACAGGCTGTTTGTTTTAGCTAAATTGCTATGCAACAGGCCACTTGCATGGAATAATAGGTTAGGTGTTACTATAAGATGAGGTTTTTCAAATGTCACATAACAGCAGGACTTCCGTGACAAGTCAAGTGGAATCCTTAGTAAGAATTCCATGTGAAAAATTTAAATATAGCTATGGCATGTAAGAACCTTTGAAACATCTTTGAAATTCAGGTTGTTCTGGGGTATGTATTTGCTGTTTCCAGCAAAAGGTATAGGCATTGTCTTTTTAAATGTTGTGCTATAAAGATTATTACACATTTTCTCATACCCCAGCAGGTGGCAGCTAACTAGAATAAGATTCATTTTCACTGGCAGAATAGGAAACTAAAATTGTTTCTCAAGTAATAGTGCCCAAGAATAAGAGGTCATTAGTATCTGCAAATATAAAAATATAGTGAAAGATGAAGCTAGTGGGTTTTTTTGTTATTGTTGGAAGAAGCTTTGCATTAACATGATATGCATTTTCTTCTTTGTCAATTTATCATAGGTTTGATATTTGTGTCAGCCTTCTATGATTTTTTTGAGGTATACTTCTAAATACAGCTTCTCTCTGGGTGTGCGTGTATGTGTGTTTTTGCAGTTTGTTATCTCTGCTTTGACCTTGGAATCTACAGAGCTTTGGCTCATAGAAATAAAGAGTGCCATATGGTTAAAATGAGGAAAAAAATGAGACCATAGAATAAAATATATAAATCTTACTAAGTATATATAATTGCCTGATATCCAATAGCAGTAGTTTTCTCTTTCCTTTAAGGAAGAAGCAAATTACAGAACTGACACAATTTTTAAAAGGGTTAAATCTAGTCAGTGAAATACTGTGTAAGGAATTTATTAATCCTTCATATAACCTCAGAACTATGATGTGTGGTATCAGTATTGGGGAGAAACTTGTAATAACTTCAAAATTGCCACATGTTAAGGCATCAACTATGCCACCAAATCATTTTATTGTAGTATAGGGATGTAAATTTAGCATTCCCCCCCCCCCCAGGAAGTGAGTGAGTTTAATGTGAAAGAACAAGAATTAATCTCATTACCCTAGTAACAGATGGAAATCTGGAGGTGGAGAATTGAAAGTGATAACTAATTGTACATTTAAAAAATGTCTTTAGCCACTGAATATTGACAGCATGTTATTTGGCATTCTGAATTGTGGTCTTTCTAGCAATTTTTTTTTGTACTGACAATCAAGTAGTTTAGTGTTCATGAGGAATCTCACAATTAATATAAGTAGTTTTTTTAACAGTATGCCCTATTACAAAAAAAGATAACTACATCTTGGGCTTATCAAGCAATTGCACTGAAAAATACACACAACACAGTTGATAAAATAGTCCTCTTGATAATGTGAACAATGCAATAATTCCAATTCCTTTACTCTGTGTAGTAGAAATTTACACATTGTCACTCAAATATCATGTTAGTTATTTATTGTGCTACTTTCAATGTACTACTCCAGAATAATGAATGCCAGGAGCGCTGTCCGTGGTCCTGAAGAAAGGTCGTCTCCAGTCTTTTAGAAGTTCAACTGGACAGGTGGAATTGCTGTCTGTTGTGCTAAAGCCTTTCAACTGAGTTGATGGATGTAAATGAATCTAATTTACCATATGTGCAAAATTGGTTCTTTGGGGATCAATTAATATTAAAAAAGTACAATCTTTTAACTGTTTAATTTATTGTGTAATAACTTCATGAATATAGAGGCTTGATCTTTCACTTTTCCAACTAGACATCCAAATAACCCCCCAAAATAAATAGTTTAGAATACTAGTTTCAAGTGCAAAAGTTGCAACCATAATGTAAAATGTCATTATATTAATGGAATACATGAACAAAGAGATGTGGTACATTTTGTTTTCTCAGGTTCCAATAAATGCCAGCTACACTGTGAAATTTCAGTATTTTGATTAGTCACAATAAAACATGCTATTTTCAGGTAGTAGATATCAGTTATATTGGCAGATAAAAATGTGAAGGATTATTTTTTTCCCCTGGCAGTCATTATTATCTCTGCTAGGATCAAAAAGAAAATGAACAAACAGAATGGAATAAATGAGACAGCAAATAGAAGACAGAACGTGTTGGGCTGTGTATGTGTTTTATAAGAGATATTTTAAACATGGACTGAAGGAGTCGCTAGATACCCTTGGTTTTAGCACTAGGTGTTCCTTTTAAGGTGCTCGAACAGTCGAATTATTTGATTGAATTGCCTGCTATACTGCAGAACTAGCCATTCATGATACTTATTTTTGACACTGCAGTTATTGCCTCCATCTTAAAAAAAATCAATGCCACTTAATGCCTTTGCAAAATGTAGATTTCTCTTTAAATTAGCACTTTATAATATCTTAAGAAAATTTAAATTAAAAAATCGCTGTAAGGAAATGAAAACATTACAGTGTTTTCTTGCTGTTTGGAGGAAAAAATAGCAAGTCGAATATTCATATCACTCATATCACTCCTTATTTAAAAATTAGCCTTCAGATAGGATATTTTTTTGTGAGATTTAACCTATGCCCTGTTAGTTGGTTATGAAAAATAGATTAATGATAAGATATAGGTCCAACAGTTTGCCTTTTGTGATGTTTAATCTTTTAAAAATGTTGACAATATATATTTATTATACAAGTTAGTTTTACTTAGTGTAAAATATTAAAATTGTATATTTTTAATAAATAGACAGAATATTACTTATTTTAATAATAAAAATGTATTTTTATGTTGAAAGAAATTCTATTTCTGTACTTTATTTCTTGAATAAACTCCTAACGAAAGCCAAGAGAGTCACTACCTAGTGACTCTAAATATTCCTACCAGAAAACTAGCAAATGATAAGACAGTTTTAGAGGAATCTGTAACACTCAATGTCGCTCATGCTATGATCTCATATTCTGCCTCTTTAGGAAAAAGAATGTTCAAAAAACCAAAATACGAAGAAATTTGGGCATAAATTATTGAAGGCTTTAGAGTTTGCTGCACCCATTCAAACATCATTGTTTTTATATATGCACAATTATTTTCTTTGAGCTTAAAAAATGGGTGGAAAATTTAACTTCTCCATTTTAATTTGAGATTTCTCCCATAAAAGTTCACTGAAGAAATTTCTCCTACTTCTGGGTAGCAATCAAGGAATACCCCAGTCAAGTTTTTAAAGAGTGGGTTTACCTCTCCAATTGCATTCCAATCTATATTCATTCCTGGTCAAAATAAAAGTATAAATAAGACTCTTTCAATCTAACCACAAGTTAGATTTGCAGTAAATTCCTCCGTCTTAGATCACTTTCTTTTTTACAGTTCCCAGACAAACTGACTTTGATTTAGCTAGTAATTTAATGAAATTCATCAGTTGATTGTAAGAAGTCCGCTTACATACACCAGTCATTCTCTCAGCAAATACTCATGGAAAATAAAAGCAATGTTCTCCCCATAAATAAATCCTACTTCTTTCTTGCAACTCAAGGCGGGCTGTCAGATCGGTTGCATAATAGATATTGGGGAGCTCACTGGCCGGGAGCCTTAAGAGGAGAGCAGCTATCTCAGTCTTTCTCACTTAATCTTGGCTTCACGTCAGAAGCTGTGCAGCAGTGCAGTAGAATAGGGCCTGGCAAAACCTTTGCTAGCAAAGCGCCTTTTGTGCCGGGCTGTGGCTCGCTATCGACATCTCGTCCGTTACCAAGGCTGGGTTTCCTACTGATTTCCCTCCTCCTCTGCTTTCACAGGCTCGCGCGGCCGGACATTGTGGGTGTGCGTGCTGGATTTCTCCCGGATGCTCTCCGACTAACATGGATGTCCCACCATTCCTTGCAGTGGAAGGTTGTTCCTTGGCGCAGTGAGTGAAGAACATGCAGCGATTGCTAATGGGTTTGGGAAGCGGAGACTCCTTCCTCTCTCTATGACCATGCCGTGATCGTGTCTGCGGTCACCACTCGACGCATCCTCATTTCTACCCGAACCCAGGAGCCGAACGCTAGATCGGGGAAGTGGGTGCCGTGCGTGTGGGCACAGAAACACCATGAAGATTATTTTCCCGATTCTAAGTAATCCAGTCTTCAGGCGCACCGTTAAACTCCTGCTCTGTTTACTGTGGATTGGATATTCTCAAGGAACCACACATGTATTAAGATTTGGTAAGATTCCCCATCTCTCTTGGTTGCCTGGTATCCGCTCCCAGGCAGCCGGATGTAAACAGGCGGTTCGCTCTGCCTGGCGGTGGGCTCCGTGGATTCTGATCTGCTCACTGCTCTGTCGTCTCCTGGGGCTTTTAAAGAACTCCTTGTGCTTTCATTTCTTCTCTTCTTTATTTTTATTTTTAGCCGCGGGAGGGTGAAGGGAGGGCCAATGTGTGGTAGTGGTCTCTGCATTACCTCCCCACAGTAGCTTGCCACGGAGATGATGATGACGATGGAGGCACGGTCAGCCGCCACTCCCGCCTGTCTCCCCCGGCGCCCTGCGAGCTTGGAGGGGTGCGCGGTCCGCGCAAAAGTGCGCGCCGGGGCTGCACGCCTCTCAGCTTGCGGGGCTGGTGAGTTAACACCTGGTAACTCTTTGGCGAGTTGCGCCTGTCCGCTTCCGCCAGTGACCAGGGCAGTTCTCACGTGCAAATGAAAGGTACTAACCCTTTTGATTTCTTTTTCCAGAGAGCCTTTTCGATTGTTTTCACCGCTTTTCCAGTCCCTGGTGCCCTTACTGGGATGCAGAGCTTTAAAAAATGTTCTAAGATTCGAGGTTCTACTTAACACAGGGAGGCTGCTACTTAGCTGGAACGAAATAGCGTCAAAATTAGAACGGCATTTTGTTTGTTTTTAACTTGCTGAGTCCCCCTCTCACAGCTTTCTGGACGTTATGGACTAATTAATGAAGGATAGTATCTGGGGCGGTGGGGAAGAGTAGTTGTTTAAGGAGGGTTGACTAAGTCTGCATCTTTCACTTTGGCAAGACGAAAGACGTTAGGTAGTTACATTTTTTTATGGAAATGTATTGCTTTTCTAAGAATCAGGGTTTCTTTGGAGCTTGAAGGAAAATCTAAACGTGGGATTCCAGTGGAAACCCTGGTCAGAGGGTCAGAGTGATTGCTTGGAGAAAATGAAGCGTGGGCGATGCTCAGGTTCTCTGGATGGCCAAAGGAGTTTTAGTAGGAGCAGAACTAGTCAGGGAAAGTTCCCTAAAGCAGATAAGAGGAAGAAAGGAGAAAGCCAACAGGATAAATGCTCCCATTGTAGGCACTTCCTCTGACAGTTCAAGTGGATTCAGACCAAAGAGTGCAGGACACCATGTAATCCTGAGCATCTGTCTTTGAGATAAAAGCAGACACATTAAGTCACTCGGTCAAATTTAAACTGAAGAGTGATTGCCTGCATCTTCTATCATGCCAACAGCATCTCCTGTCTTTCCATTTTACCATGTGTGTGTTTTATCCCCCCAATGATAAAATTCACCATCTCTCCTAGGCTTTGTAGAACAAAGGTAGGGATGTTTCACATACATTCAAAAAGGGAACCTCACCGACCACACATACACATAGATGCCCACAGTCAAAAAGCCTGCTGATGATAAAAGAGGCACTGGGTTATAGCTGGATTCCCACTGTAGTAGTTTTCATGCTTTTTTCATGCCTTTAGATGGTACTTAAGCACGTTGCTCTTAGCAACAAGCATCCACAGGAATGATTGTTTCTGTGGACAGGATTAAACAGGTCCGTATACCATTGGAAATGTGTGTGTACGCACACGCGTGTGTGTGCATGTGTGTTTTTTGTGTGTGTGTTTTCAGCAGTTAGGCTTCAAATATGGTAAGTGCTACAGTATGGTAGTTTGCCCAATATTTCGAGTATTTCATCCTAATTATGTGGAATCCTGAAGAATTCTGAAGTGTGTTTGTGAATGAGTGTGCGTTACTAAGTGTGTTTGCCGACTAGATGGAAAAAAGAAGACTTGGAGCCGGAAAACTGCCACCAATACTCTAAGGATTTAATTATTGCCGCTCTGGTCTTGCAGCACAATATTTGCTGAATCACTAGATTGTTACACTCGCTGATCATTTCATATCTTCATATTAAAAATCTTGGCGACTGTAGCAGAGTGCGTAGCAGCTTTCCAAAAGAGCTCTCTCTCTCACACACACGCACACACACGCACACACATACACACACACAAACAAGCTTTCTTAGACCAATGCTTACTAAAAATGTCTTTAAGAAATACGGTAGTAGGCAAAGATCTCCACACTAGTCCCTTGACAACCCTAAACCAACAGTCCAGCTTCTAGATAACCTGCTGTTTTCTACGTTAACTTAAAACATCTTCCACGTGGAGATGCATTTCTTCTGATTTCTGACCTAAGTTGTGGGGAAGAAGGACTGTGTACATTGTTACTGGAACATTTCCCTGTTGGGGCTATTTTGATGTAATGGTGGGAGTTTTATTTTCTTCTGGGATAAACACGTTCTGAGTGGATTGGATGGTTGGTTGAGCACGTATAAGCCACTCTTGAGAATGGTTATTTTCAACTTTGGCTCAAAAGTCCAGCCAGTGCCTCATGCCCTGGACCCGTGCCTTGGAAGGGAAGAGCTTGGAGTTGCACGTGGCGCAGCTGCCCCAGTGGTGGAGAGACCCGCCGCCTCTGCTGGGGAGGCAGCATCCAGTGTCCCTTCCATCCCCCACCCTTGGCGTGGCTAGGCGCCGGCAGCCGCCAGGCGCCTCCGCCGCGGCGCTATGGCAACGGCGGAGCCCGCCCAGGCGGCCACCCCAGCCCCCCTTCCCCGCTAGTTAAGGCTCTGTGTTATCCTTCCCCTTGCTCCCGCTAGGACTGTGATTCGACCCAGCGTCCTCCTGTCACCTCCTGCGAGGTGAGGGGCAGCCCCCGCTTAGAGTGCTGAACCCTTGCCACGTCCCTCGCCTCCCCCGCCCGTCTTCAGCGTGCGCAACCCTCTTCCCCGCGCTTCCCTCTCCCTCTCTGTATGGCACACACAATAACACACACATACACACACACACATTCTCTCACACACACTCAAACATAGACACGCGCTCGCGCGCACTAAGACACATGCGCCCTCCGGGTGCATTTGGCACAGTGACGTCTCTCTAGTGCTCAAGAAAACTTTGCAGTTACACCCAGGAGCGTCTCTGTCCTGTTTCCCCCTTAACCTCCAGCCTCAGCCGACTCCCACTTGGCTGCACAGGCTGGCCTGCTCCTCTGCAGCCGCTCAGCAAACATCTCTGAGAAAAGGTATCCGGAGCACCGACCCTAGGGTGCTGCCCCGAGGCTCTATGGCAGCGACCTGAGGGTCAACCAAGGGTCACCTCCAGGCAGGCGGGCGAGCCCCTGACATTGAGTCTTGGTTGTCACCCCGCCTTTGATCCTGTGTTGGGACAACTTGGGTTTTCCTGGGTGCCCACCCGGCGGGCAAGGTGCATTTTAGAGAGTCAGTTCTCCTGCCCTAGGTCGAGCCAGATGTTCTCTGGCCGGCTTTTCTGGGAGCAGAGCCTGCGACTCTCCCAGGCAGGCGTCTCCAGAGCGCTGGCGCGGCGGGCACAGGGCATCCAGCGCGTCCCAGCGTATGTAAATGAGGCATCTTTGTTTCGCCGCAGCTGCGTCCCGGCCTTGCCCGCCCCAGGATAGGGTGAAGGCGGGACTCTTCCGTCCGCGGGGGTGTGACCAATTCCACGGCCTCTAAGCTGAACTGCGGCGGCGGAGGTAATTGAACCTTTCTTTTGTTACTTTAGCCGGTCCTTCTCTTCCGGGCATGCACTGACCCCAGCCTGTACGGAAGTGCGAGGGAGCTCAGAAGCCAGCTCCGGCTGTGTGCCCGGCTGGCCTAGGGTTCACCGTTCGGGAGCCCTCACATGTTTAAGCATCCTTTTTAAGAAATCACTCCCCAAGCTATCACTTGTTTCCGATCTTCAAGGTCAGGTTTTCATTCAAAATCTTTATCTGAACTGGAATTTAGAGCTCCAGTAGCAAAGACATCAACCCAAACTTAGGCTCCTGGGCACCATCTCCAAGGTTTCCTTGCCGAATTGCTGAGCATATGGTAGGCCATGTCTTCCCTTCTGATGTTTCGACCTAACTTTTCTCTTAAAGACAAGCCAGTGGAACTGCTCTCTTAAAGGTTTCCCAGCAGAAGTCTTCCCTCCCAGACGCGCTGGGGTCTCTTTGGCACTGCACACTGACCACCTGTTTGTGGGACAGCAATCACACAGTCACCTCCTTGCGTACACGAAGAAGGTGAACACAGCCAGTTTAAGGGACCACCTATACGTTGTGGGATAAAATCAACGTGAGAGAGAACAGAAAGTGTTCCTATGGAAATCCCGTTATTTTGCTGGGCATCCCATTTGCTCACAGATACAATAATTAGTAGCAGATGTACTGCAACATCGAATAGTGAGACTGAGCTTACAAGCCGCCACTCTACAAATTCTTTGAAAGAGATTTTTCCTCCTTTGAGAGGTGAGGTGGGCGGGAGGGAGGAGTGGCCTTACATCTGGAAGCAGGAAAACTGACTCTTGGGAGGCGGGGATGGGGGAGTAATAGCGGCTACTATCTGCAACAGATAAAGCCTGAACACCTGCTTAGCTGAGCTGTGGAATGCAAGGGAGAGAAATCATTCCAAGAATCGCCAACACAACGATCACACTTTAAAAAAATCAGTTTTTCTCATAAGTTCTCACTTACTCTTAAAGCTTCAAAGAATAACTTGATGTGATCCATCAAAAGAGGCACAATCATTTCAGAAAATGACTTTGAAAAATGATCTTTTTGTCTTCTAGAAATTGCACGCTTTCTCTACCCAGATACATGAAACTCAACACATTTTCTGGCTTTGTGAGATTGTCTTTCAGAAGCGAACATGGTTTATACGTCAGTAGACATTTCTTCAGACTAGCTTTGCTTTTTGGTTTAATGCAAGTGATCATTACGATGTGTTCATTCCTTAAATTCTCAGATGACACTCTTTCAACATTTACTCAGCACGGGAAAGTTAATGTGAATTCCTCTCACACGAAGAAGGAAAATACCATAGATCAAACGATGATGTATCATTGATTATCAAAGCCTTTTCAAGTTTTCTCACCATTACATAAAGTGTTGTCTATGATAACAATGACATAATCTTTCATGCCATTTAGTTATCATAATTTCTGATAAAGAAAATGCCTTGCTCTTTTGTGGTAGAAATTAAACGTTCAGGTGAGAGAAATTACTTCACTTTGTCCTTCAGTTATTAAGATTTGACTTTGTTATGGTAGCCCCAATTACATTTATTGCCTGGAAATTGTCAGTGCACATTTTTGCACATCAGATTAGAAACTAGTTTACTGTCTTTAAAATGTAACATACTTAAATTATTAATCTACTGCATGCTTAATACTTAGGGCTTGCAGGAGATCCCTGATTTTCCTCAGTAGGATGGTATGATATATTGAAATTTAAGTGTTGATTGTTTTTCATTTGGGTAGTGAAGGTTTAGCTTCAAAGGGCTTTCAATTTGTAGTCCAGTTATCAAAGTGTTAGAAGTGCTTCAATTGAATCTTCTACCCTAAATCTTAGCATGAAAAGTGAGGTCAGAAACCCCTGAAAGGGAAGGAAGTAGGTGCACATCATCATTATTGACTAGTCTAGATTAAACACTGAAGAGGAAGATTTCAATCTGATAACATCATAGGGCTTCCTGTTTTTCTTTGCTGCTTCTGCTGACAATTTTGTAAGGTAATTAAATTGGCTGATTGAAGTCACAGCGGTCATGGGGCGATAAAGACCATTTGGATTTAATGGAATTTAAAACAACAGAGCACAGAACACAACTCTTACCGAACAAGAATTTTAATGGTCCATTCAGGGTGCTGACTAAATAGAACGCCCTTAACAAGTTTAATTGAAAGGGCAAGGCAGATTAGCACTATATAGTCTTTATGGTTGAAGATTGGGGAATTAAAATTATCCCTTTAAAAGACTCATTAATGCATTATCAAGATTTAATGTAGGTTAAATAAGCTTTCTTCAAACCTTTATCATATACTGTGAACCTAGGTTTAGGACCAAGTTTCAATAATAAAACATTTTTAAGAGCTGATTTAATAAATGGAATTATAGATCTTTCTCATTTGAAAAAAAAAAGGCATTTAAAATTGAGCATATACAGTGTGTTGAAGGGTAAGTGTTGATGATAAATTCTCTATGTTCTATAACTGAAAGAAAATTTGACTTTTCTTTTAAAATTTGATTGTTGGTATTTTTTCATATAAAGAAAGCTTGTCAGTAGTAGAGAAACCACAGAGACAATAAAGGAATATTCTTTCTGCAGTTTCAATAGAGTAATAGGTATTTGATCTATTTTAGGTTGTTTTTAAAATCCTGACCTTTTTTCTTGCTGAAACTTCTATATTCAGATTATTAAACTTCAATGTAGTAAGTCCCTTCTGCCCCTGAAGAAAGGGTAGATCACTGCTTAACATTGGGAACATTGAAGTACAATCAGTCCCAAGGTGAAAGTCAAGCCTCAGTCACATATGAGATTATTCACTCCACCTGTTTCTTGCCATGTGGCATTGCCGACTCAGAGTTGTCAGTTCCTTAGATATTTCTAGAATAACATGAAACCAAATTTTTGTATAAAAATCTCCCAAATTTTAATTGTATACAATTTTGAAAAAAGCTTTTAAACTTCAGATTTGTAAACAGCAAAAGCATACAGCAGGTGAGGGGGGATGTGGTCTCATTTTTACCTTCTCGCCCATTCACATTTCACAGTTCCTCTAAGGCACACCTGCTTCCCTCACATCTCTTTGATCACCAAATAAGTAAGGTTTATTTGCCTCTTGCCTCACACCCTTAAAGCAAACTATGTTATATTCTTGTATTTTCAAAGTGACAGTTACCTAACCTGATAAAACTAATTTGTGGTAAAGTGAGTGGGGAGTTTAGAAAAGACTCTAAAAACTTTTCTGCAGGATTTTTTTTTTAATTTTTAATTTTACTTTTGCATTTGGGCTTTGAGAATCCTCTTCAAAGATAGCAGCATTCAGATATAGTATTTGGTTTTTAGGTTTCTGCCTATAGATTAATTTAAACTCTTTATTTTCTTAGCTAAAAACTGAAAATTCTTTTCTGGATTTAGTAGAAAGGTCACTAGACAGCAGGGCCATTTGTGAAGATCTGAAAGGGTTTGGGGAGGGTATGTCTTTTAGTTATTTTTTCTACTGATACATATACTTCTATCAGTCTTTCTTTTTGGTTAAGTATTGCCCTGTTCCATGGCCTTATTTTAAGACAAGTATATTCTGGAAGAGGAACACATAGTCTCAAGACTGTAGAGTTAGGATGAGTTTATTAGGATCGATCGATACTGTCTGTGACAGAGATGCTCAGATACAGAAGAAAATACTGGGTGCCTAAGGGAGTGCTGAGTGATTAGCATGGGTGTGGAAGGGAGGCTGAGAAAAGAGAGAAGTTAAATGACATTTGATACACAGTCTTTTTCAAATTTACCGCCAGACATCCCAATGCTTTGTAAATTGATATTTTGCTTGTATTAATCCAAATCTTTTAGCATAAGTGATTATTTTAAATAAGATGTAAATTATATTCTTACATTGACATTTTCTCCAATCAAAATGATTTTTAATGCTTTTTACCTCCTTTTCAATCAATTAGCTACTTTTCTATTATTAAACTAAAGTAAGAATTTGGAAGATGTTGCCTCTAGCTCTCATTTGTGTCTCCAGCTCAGTCTCAGTCTAAGTCCTTGACCTAGCACAATGAGAATATTGTGCTAACATGATCAAATAAACAAAACAAATATTAAAGTAATGTTCTGCTTCTGAAATTTCAGTATATTCATAGCTATTTGGTCTATTTTATGTTGTCATTTAATCCTTCCTTTCTTACCTCTCCCTTTACTTTCTGAAGCTTCCTGCATTCAATTCATCATAGATTTTAGTACATTCGGGTCCTTCCTTCCCCAGAAGAAATGAAATGGGAACTCTCTCAAAATGAATGAAAACTATAGAATCCTGGATTATCTAAGCTAAAGGGGAACTCAAAGGTCCCCACGTTTAGAGTCTTAAGTTTAGAGGTGAATTGCCAAGGACAGTTAAATAGCTTGTTCTAAATTGCAATTAATGTCAGATTTTATACCAAAACATGATTACCCTGGCTGCCAAAATTCAAAAAACTGAATTTTGCTGTTTTTTTCAGTGTAGCCTCTGACTCCCTGTGCTTTGAATCCATTTTAGAAAGAAATCTGGTAGCTCCCCTAGAAATGTGTCTACTTTGTTTCCTTTACCTTTTCTTTCCTAGTACATTATCTCATGGGTTATTGCTCTTTTCTCTTTTTTTTTCCTTAATGTGTAGCTCTATCAGCCTCTTGCATACCTGCTTACTTGTTCCTTTACTCAGTGTCAAAGCTTTTGCTGCATCCATTCATTCAACAATATTAAAGTGAGCACATATTATGTGGCAGGCATTTGGAAAACAGAATTCTAAGACTTAGCTTCTGATATTAAGGATTGTGTAATCCAGTTAAAGAGAAAAGATATGTACATATTAAAGTACCAATTGTATGGTACAGAAAATATATACAATAGTTGTTTAAATGAGATTATTGCGGGCTTAAGTTTTTCCAGAAGAGATAGGATTCTGGCTGGTGCCTGAAAACATTGTGTGGTAGAAAGAAGGGGGAAATGTATCATTGGTGGAAGACTCAGCACAAGAAAAGGAATTTAGGCATAAATTAAGAAAATGAGTGTTGGGACAGATAATGGGCTAGCACTGAAGGGGCATAGATAAGGCCTTGATTTTTCAGAGCTTTAATATTTAGGTTACAGGGTTTAGACTACTGTGTGTAGCCACTGGAAAGCAATTGAAAATAGAGGATGGGCTTGACATGGTGTGCAATAAGCAGTCAAATGATTTTGCAGTGTGTTGCTTACATTTTATGAAGAATAAGTGGATCTTCTTTCTCTTACTGAAATGGAAGCAAAAGACACATCTTGGTCCTTGATCACTGAAACCTTTAAGAAGTTCTTGAGCTCAGATCAAAGATTATGTTAGTCAAAATTCTCCAGAGAAATAGAAAACACACATACACACATGCAGCAGGGAGGAAGTGAGAGAGAGAGAGAGAGAGAGAAGAGGAGGGTGTGGGTATTTATTATAAGTAATTGGCTTACATGATTATGGTATTATGGATGCTAAGAAGTCCTAAGATCTGCAGTTGGAAAGCTAGAGACCCAGTGGTATAATTCTAGCCTGAAGACCAGCAGACTTGAGGTCCAGGAAGATTCAGTGTTTCATTTTGAACCCAAAGGCATGAAGAAAAAAAGAAAAAGAAAACCCAGGCTTGAAGGCAGTGAGGCAGGAGGAATTCCCTTTTTTTCTCAGGAGGGTCAGTCTTTTCACTCTATTCAGGCATTCAACTGAGCGGATGAAACCCACCCACATTACGGAGGGCAATCTTCTTTGCTCCATCTACTATTTTACTGATTCAGATGCTAATTTCATACCAGAACACCCTCACAGACACACCCAAATTGTTTGACCAAATGGCTGGGCACCCCATTAGGCACCCACGGCCTAATCAAGTTGACATATAAAATTAAACATCACCCAGATAATTCCAAAGCAAAATTCTGAAAGGAAATAAAGGAATGTCTTCTTAAGACATGGCCAGATCAAATGATTAAGCAAGGAAAAGTTACCAATTAATCTTAAGGAAAATGCATTAGAGAACAATTTACAAGTACTATATACATCTTTGAGGGATACAGTAAATTGCCCCCAAGGAATTCTCAATGTTTTATGTTTAGTTCCAAGACATTTCTATTACCTGAAACATTGTGTATGTGTGTGTGTGTGTGTGTGTGTGTGTGTGTGTGTGTGTGTGTGTACAGTTAAGATTATAATACCATATTTTTACTGTATATATTCTGTGTAGAAATGTTTAGATACACAAATATTTACCATTGTGTTCTGATTGCCTGCCATATCCAGCAGAGTAACATACTAGACAGGTTTGCAGCCTAGGAGCAATTGGCTGTAACATATAGCCTAGGTATATAGTAGGCTATACCATTTAGGTTTGGGTAAGTACACTCTGTGATGTTCACACAATGATGAAATCACCTAACGATGCATTTCTAAGAATGTATTCCTGTTGTTAAGCACTCATGAATGTATATACATAATATGTCTATCAATTATTTAAAATCAGAATTTAAAATAAATAGAATTAAAAGTTAAGACAACTTTAGTAGAATAGATTTATTTTTAGTAATATTTTCTGATTCTACACAAACTCAGGATGTTAGACCGTGAATTTAGTTGTTTGGGTCATGAATTTTACTCTTGATTTTGTCATCTAATATTCATAAATTAGGAAAAATAAGTAAATCTTTCTGGCCCTTGACTTTCCTGTCTGAAGAATGAGTATTATTTGCTACCTGTTTAACTTCCAAGGATAATAGATAATGTTGGATTTAATAGGAAAATGTGTAGAGCTCTGAGTTTATTAGCAGAAAAGGCCTTTTAGAGTTGAAAAAAAATTGTTTATTTACTGTGTATGTGTGGAATAAAATAATATTTATTATCACTCATGAATATTGTATCTAACTTCTTAAACTGTGTATATTTAAGAAAATCAGCTTTTCTAAATTATTCATTAAAAATCTTCCTTGAAATATACCTCAATTATTACAAATAGGTTGGTAAGGATTTATTAACTAATAGAACAAACTTCTGATTTAGTTACTTGATAGAAGAGTAAGTCTGTAGTTTCTTTTTCTTCCTTAAACATCATGACTTTAATTGGTGTTCTCAAATATATACAACATCAGAAGAAACAAACCAAAACTGAAAACAAATAATGAACAAAGAAATCATGCCAAGTTCTGTGGTTTAAATTTTTTTCACTTTTTCATAAGTATATTGTTCTAGTTTACCTACACAAGTATTTTCTGATTTTTATATATACATCATTCTTTATGCATCTGCCTATGATGAACTTTTAGTTATTTCAAGGTTTGCAAACATATAAATAACTATCTTTGATCCATTTGTGTTGATTCAGGAAAGTTTCATAAACACTTGGATTTGCTACAGTTGTTTGAGATGGATGTATGGGACTTTCCAGTTGTTATATTGGCTGCTTAGGCAATTTTTCTGGTGCTTACTTTTTAAGGTAGAACAGATTTTGGTACCACCCCTAGACCACTAACCTCAGCATTCTTCCTTAAGTGTCCTCTAAACTGACTTAAAAAAAAAGATCTAGCCCAGTGTTGGGGGATCAGCATAGAAGTGTCTAGGGAGAGACAAGAGAGGACAACCTACACCTCCTTGAGCAGTGGTACCATGCCAGAGAATCCACAGGACCATTTGAAAAGGTGTATTGAACTTAAATACAATTTTATATTTGCAAAATTAAAAAATTTTAAACTTCAATGTATAAATACTCTGTACACAAAATCCCAGCGACATGCAATTTACCTGTATTACAAGCCTGCACATGTACCCCTGAACCTAAAGTCAAAGTTAAAAAAATGTAAAGTTTATTGGGAAAATTGCCTGACTGTTGAAGATACTTAGTTTTTAATCAGTAATTTGCAACTGTCAAGGGTAAGGTGGAGGACAATCAGTCTCAAGATTTTTACGTTTATCTGAAGGGCAACTAGACTAAGCACAGTTTGAAAAACAATCTCCTAGCTTAAGCTCAAGTCTAGTTTTTGTGTTTCTGGAAACAGCCTTCCCATGATGCAGAGCGGATGTTGGAATATATGAAGAATATTTTTGAATTTTTGCCTCTAATGGGTGAAGAAAGGTGTCCCATTCTTTCATCTTTCCCTAAGGATTCTGGGTTGATCACTCAGGAAGACTTCCTGGAGATTAGGGGTGATCTTCCAATGATTCATCTTCAGCTTGTTCCCTTAAATTCATTTCTCTTTCTTTTGCTCTTCCATGTATCAACTATCTTTCAAAATCTAATTCAAGTTTTGCCTCCTGCAAAGATATGTTTTAGATAGGCATTCTGCAGAATAAATTCAAACATTGACAAGATAATTTGATCTAATCAGTGGTTCTCAAACTTTATATCAGAGGAAAGGGGCTTTACATAATTTAAATGTCTGGTCCCCAAACCTAGAAATTCTATAGTTTAATATGTTACTAGATTTAGTTAGCATGTTACAAGTGCATAACTGCATAGTTCTATGTGGTGGTTCTTAGTCCCTTTATTTATTTTACCAAAGTAACTGTACTTAAACAAAATAAAGATCTCACACACTGTGCTAGATAATCCTAAGAAGTTTTTGACCTTTAAGTTTATGATTCTTCTATTTATAATGAGCAGCGGCATCAGCTTTCGGAATTAGCAGTTGATAATCATGTCTAGATGATGAAAAACAATGAGTAAATGTTGTAGATAACAGTTGGGGCTTAGATATTTTATAATTCTTCACAGAACACAGAGTGTTGGACTCTCAGAACACCACTCAAGGGCTTATTCTTTAAAACCTAATCATTTAGAATATTTATATCCACACAACCAACCCCATAGCCCAAAGGGATCTTAAACAGGTGTTGTTTTATAAATAATGTCTAATATGATGTATGGTTGTGAGACTTTCCTCTCTCAATCTCCCACACTAAAGGATCCCCTAATAGATTATTTTAAAACTTTGTTTTCCCAGACTTAGAAAAAGAACTCCAGCAGACATTTGCTGTAGTTGAGAGGATTCCAACTTTTCAGTTGCCATGAATACATCCTAATGGTCCAGAATCTAGGCTGAAAATAATGTCCAGCCTAGATGGTATTTATTAGAAAACATGGAAATCTCTTGGACAATACCATGGCACCCCCATTCCCATCCCTAATGCTCTGATTATACTCTCTGGACCTTTGTTACATCATGGTGCTGAGACATAAAATGTGGACACTACATTTGGAATTAAACCAGAATATTCTTATATATTTGTTTTAGGTAGATAAATTGTTAATAATTGCATATACTGATTTAGTATTGAAATAAAAATGGTTTTTATCTGTCTAAATTATTGATATCTAAGTGTTTTCTGTATTGATTGCCTCCTCGGTGAAACACATACGTTTGTTAAATATATTCCTATAATTAAACTTGCCATCTAGATACAGACTTCTGTATAGGAGACACTTTACTGACAGTATGATTTAAAAGTAGCATGATTATAGGTTGGATAGAGATTCCAAAGTATTAATATCATGATAATCACATGCTAATGGAAATTTTAAGATAAATATTGAAGAAAAAACTCAAGTTAACTTCATTATTTCTCAGAAGCTTTCTTTTTGGACTCAGCTATGTTTAGCAATATGTGTCTAAATATTTTCAATTCTTTTAATAATAAATTATTCATAGGTGATTTAGCAATTGAGAGCATGTAAATATGTAATTTCAAGAAAATGCATCCAGTGGTGTGCAGTTCTCTGGAAGACAAACTATGAAAAATCCTTCTACATGATATAAATTTCACAGTAGCTTACATTCATATATATTCATCTAATTATGGTTCTAGGATTACTATACCTTTGACCTTTCTATTGGTACGGGATAAATTGATATACGTAAATGTAGAATGTGAAAAAAAATTCACAACACAGAATAATAATTCATTTATTTTCTTTAGGTAAGAGTCTGACTTTACTAAACCCGATAGCCACAAGTAAATGTTAATGGAAAGGTTTTCCCAAGGTTCTTTGAATTTCATACATGTTTTAATTCCTGGCAGGTAGCCAGACTATATCAGCATTTAAAATACAAAACTAGGATAGAATTTTACCTATTTCAAGGTAGTATAGTTTGTGAGTAAACTGTGGAGAGAATTTTAACCTTTAAATTTGTTTATTGTTTCTCTGTACTATGTGTAAGATGACTAAACTTGGCTACAAAAAATAGCTATATCTTAATAACAAACCCCTATTTAAACCCCTATTTAGTATAATTTCTCTCTCTCTCACCCCTCCCTCCCTTCCTCTCTTTGTGTGTTGGGGGTGTTATTCTTCAAGAAAGAGAGATGAAGTTAAATTTATTTACCAGACAACAAACAAATGCTTTATGTGTTGATTGTGAAGGAAGATGCTGAAAGTTTCCTATTAACTCTTTCAATTTCATTTCCATTTTCTATTTAAATTGCCATTCATTTCACCAAATATTTATTCAGCATTGGTGTCTTGTCTGGTTTTTTAATTATTTGCATAACAAAGTAATTGAAAAAGCAAGATATAATTAAAACTTTCAGTAAATATAAAAATTTATCTAAAACATGCTTGATTATTTTTAGAAATACATTACATGGGGGATCCTAATGAGATCCTGATTGTTTTTGTTCTGAATGGCATCAAGATGTATATGTTTCAGTTTCATTCTATAGGTTCTGTTTCAGTATTTCAATTCAATTTCTTATTATAATTGAAGGATTATCTTAGTAACCTTAAAGAAATCCACAATTAATGTAATTTATCAATATGTATTTATATTTGAAGATGATTATTGTCTAACATTTAGAGTTTATACTATGATATATACACAACTATTATATTTTCAAGTCTTTATTTATACAAGCAACCAGTCATACAATTTGCTATTTGTTCAAGTCTTTATTTATACAAGCAACCAGTCATAAAATTTGCCATTTGTTCATTTATTTATTCTTTCAATCATTCATTTAACAAATGTTTAACTGCTTACCCATGTGCCAGACACTTGACTGAGCAATAGGACACCAATAATTTGAAAATAAAAAGAACTGGTCTCTGCATCAAGAAGGATATCATATTCTATAGACATAGGTAACCACATAAATACAAAACAGTGTGACAAGTGCACACAATAATATGTAAATATTCTAACATGAAGGGAGGCATCTAGCAGTTCTTAGAATAAAGTATTTCTAAACCTGTTGTTTGCATCTTGTGCTAAGACTTGGATCCACTGAGGACCTCATTCAGAAGTTTTATTCTTGCTATCAGATTAGAATGACCATGCATTTGTGCTCCTTTTCTCCACTGCCCCCAGCACCAGAAACCCTCAACTAGACCTCTAGTATCAAATCATAGTGATGCCATTAATTTATTTCTTCTGTATTTTTATATGATTATATATATGAAATTATTTTTAAAACTAGTCCAAATTATTTTAAGTGTTTAGTTACTGTATTTGTCAGGATGTAGATTCGGTGACATATCACAGATCCCCCCTGGAAGTCCCCAAAGCAAAAACAAAAGGTAGTTGTTCACTTCTCATGTCTCTCTGCAGATTTGGGTATTTCAGGGATGGTATGCTGGATCTGTAAGTTTCTGGGGTCTATGCTGTTTCCAGCTCTCTAGTCTACATCTTTAAGGAATGTTGTTTTGCATGATCTAAAAGGATGCTGTAGTGATCGCAGATACCCTCCCAGCAGCAGGATGGACACGTTTTAGATGTTGCACACGTCATTTTACCTCACATCCCATTAGTCAAATAGCTATTCCCTGGTGCACAGAAGGCTGGGAATTGAGTTCCTCTTATGGAAAATGTACCCAGCTGAAACATCTCAGGGTCTTTTCTTGTAGAAGATATGGGATATGCACGTTGAAAGACCACTGGTAGTCTCTGCCACAAGCATCTGACTAAATATTTCAGAAAAAAGCTCTGTAGAGTTTTAAACTTGTGTGTGTGTGTGTGTGTGTGTATGTGTGTGTGGTGTGTGGTGTGTATATGTGTGTGGTGTGTGGGGTGTGTGTGTGTGTTGTTATAAAGTAATGCATTGTAGCTTATTTGGAAAATATGAAGTGTGAAAGTGAAAATAAAACCTCCCATAATTACACCATGCAGCTATAATCACTGTTATCATTTTGTTTCTATTAATTCTTGTTAAAAATTAAAACAAATATTTTGGTTGATTTAAAACGTAATACATGTTTATTGTAGAAAATAGAAAATATATAGAAAATTATAAATAAATATCACCCATTATCTCACCATAAGTAATATTTTATATTTATCCTTGATCTTACTGTATATGTTTTGTTAATTTTTTTCATTTAACCCTTTATTGTGGACATTTTTCTGTCGTCAAGTATTTTTCCATAACTTTTTTTTTTTTTTTTTTTTTTTGAGACGGCGTCTTGCTCTGTCGCCCAGGCTGGAGTGCAGTGGCGCGATCTCGGCTCACTGCAAGCTCTGCCCCCTGGGTTCACGCCATTCTCCTGCCTCAGCCTCACAAGTAGCTGTGAATACAGGCGCCCGCCACCACACCCGGCTAATTTTTTGTATATTTAGTAGAGACGGGGTTTCACCTTGTTAGCCAGGATAGTCTTGATCTCCTGACCTCGTGATCCACCCGCCTCGGCCTCCCAAAGTGCTGGGATTAGAGCCTTGAGCCACCGCGCCCGGCCGTATTTTTCCATAACAATTTTTAAGTGTCTGAATTTGTATTACAGAGGTGCTTATAATTTATTTACCAATCCCTCTATTGCTTGGGTTTTAGAATCATATATACCTGAATTTGAAACTGGCTCTCCGGCCTTTGAGCAATATGATTGGAATATGCTAATGAATCTTCCTAAATTTTAGTTTCCTTACCTATAAATTGGGAATGATAATATTATCTACCCTTTAAAAGTATTCCTTGGAATTAAAATAGATAAAATAGATAAAATGCGCAAAGTACTTAGTAAAGTGTGTGGCACCTAAGTCCCTAATAAGTGCTAGCATAACCAGTCAATCAATCAATCAATCATTTAATTAATTTCACCACAGAAAGTACTTGATTTCTGTAATTGTTTCAGCTAATTTAGATCTGATGCTTCCAGGTCTTATCCTGTCTCTTCAAGGGTGGTTGGACCCCTGCAGAAGTCCTGTGAAGTGTTTTAGGCCAGTGAGGTGGCCTTTAGGAACACAAAGGGCCAGTTTGTCAACCAGGAGCCTTGTGATCTGTGGAGACAGGAAACAGACATTTAGATGGGAACTTACGGGATAACATAAGAATATCTGTAGTTTTCTACAATTGTAGGCTAGGCGTGATCCGTGTTAGAGGGGAGAAGAAGGAGCTGGTCTGAGGCTGGTCTGAGGCTGAGGAGTGTGGCCTGCCTCTCCCTGCTTGCTTCCTGGGATGTCTCCTCAGTGTCAGTACTGGTGAGGCTGGGGCAGGGGAGGAGCAGCAGCAGTTTTAAAATCAGACTTCTCTTTGCTTTTTGATTTGTTAAGCAAATTCCAGGTGTCTCACTTGCTAATCACATTGTCATCTCTGATGCTTAATTATTTTCTTTAGGGAAATGAAGTTGTTTGGGGCTTTCAGGAAATTAAATTGAACTTCAAAAACCACTTCCACATAACAATTAACATTTTGAAATGGATAATTCCTCAGGGTTTGTTGCTAGGTGAGTTTACCCAGTTTTTCCTTTAAGAGATATTCTTTATAATAGTGGATTTATTTGTTCTTTTAATTATAGATCATATTTTTAAAAATTGGACACATTAAACATCCATTAAGTCCCTAGTAAAATGATATAAAAATGTGTGGCCATTGCCTTTGAGACAGACTAATGTTGTCATCTATGGAGTAGGAAATTGGTGGTGATTAGCTCTTGGGCTCTATATTTGGGAGAAGCCTTCATCATTGGAAGGAGTTACATCTTGGCCTGCTCAGAAAAAAGGAAGTAGTTTCAATGTTAGTGCAGCAAAAATGCCTAAAGGTGACTGTGCTAGTCTGTTCTCATGCTGCTAATAAAGACATACCTAAGACTGGGTAATTTATAAAGGAAAGCGGTTTAATTGACTCACAGTTCCACATGGCTAGGGAGGCCTCACAATCATGGCGGAAGTTGAAGGAGGAGCAAAGCTACTGGCAGCAGGCACGAGAATGTGTGCAGGGGAACTGCCCTTTATGAAATCATCAGATCTCATGAGACTTATTCACTATCATGAGAATTGCATGGGAAAAACATGCCACCATGATTCAATCACCTCCCACCAGGTCCCTCCCACAACATGTGGGGATTAGGGGAGCTACAATTCAAGATGAGATTTGGTTGGGGACACAGCCAAACCATATCAGTGACTTACATGTATGTAAGAAGGTGAAGTTCCATGTGGCTTGTGGGCATCATTCCCATCTTCTAATGGAGCCTATACAACCTCAGCACAAATGTTTTCAGTCCCATTTGAATAAGATAGAGATTCTAGAAATTCTAGGTGTTGCTGCTCTGTGCCCTCCTAAACATGCCTCCTCTAGTCAATCAGATTTGTCTTTAACACATTTAGGCTGCCTTTAAGTTCTGCATTTTCTACTTTGCCTGCACACAGATATAATCACAGTGGAATCCTAAATCTTAATCACTCCACCTCCCCCTAAAAGGATGTGGGCGTAGAATTACTTAAATATTGCCGTATGTTAGCCTTTGAGAGGCTTTTGCAAGTTATGAGAACCCAACCAGTTGCTAATAACCTACTATTGCTTCTGGCAATAGTAGGATCTGATCTAGAAAAGGCACGGAAAATGTGGTCAGAAAGATTGGGATTCTAGGAGAAATTCCACCACTTACAAAGTGTGTAACCTTAGTCAAGTTACTCAACATTTGAATGTCACTTTTCTTATTTGAGAAATAAAGTCCTTGCATGTAGAAAACATCCAAAAACTTCCCTTTCTTTTTTGTTATCCTGAAAATCTGGGTGTGGAAGAACTGTTGAACAATAGGTTAGCTCTATGTTCTACAACAGACTGTCTCTCAAATGCAGAGTTCTGTGTGTTTATTGACTACTAGCGTCAGCTTCTGTGCAGCTGAGATACAAATTCAGCCCTAGGCTTTTATCCACAGATCTGAGAGGAGGAAGGCAGGCAGGCACCTGTAATTATAGCAGCAGTGATGAATTGCAGCTGAATTGCATGGTGTGTTAAGGCTTTTCTGTGCTGGTTGGCTTGGGTATTAGTATAGTGATTCTGGGAGTAACAGACAGTATTTTAGCAAGTGTTTGTCTTTCTATTATCCATTTAAACATAATCCTAGAATCTCCACAGACATACAGGAGTTCTTTTGTTGCTTTCTGGCAGTGGATAAAAGTGTCCATTTTTATTAAGTGCTCAGTGCAGAGTTTAACAGCCCTTTTATGGACTGGTACTAGATTACGTATCGAGGGGTGGGGTGAAGATAGTTTTTCTATCGACATTTGTAAAACCTTAGATTTGGGTTTCCATGAACCAGAATACTGCTCTACAGACGTCAAAGACTCTAAATGTTGCAAACGATTGTCTTTTGTTTCTTCATTTTCCTTTTTCCAGGTTGCTTGGTCACAAAAGACATCTGTCCACCTGATCTTTCCAAGGGAGTATGGTGGGGGTGGTTGGGGCTTTCTGTGAGGGTGATAGTTAGGCAGGGAAGGAAGGTGGGAGAGGAGACCACTTTGCTTTTTCTGCAAACCCCTGTTATCGATTACCCTGTTTGTTCCTTTCCCCTTAAACTCTCCTAAAAGAAGGGTCAATTCTCTCAACATCAGTTGAATGAAAAATAGCAATTTGAACAGCATCTGCAAAGTGACATGTATAAAATCCAAAATAAAATGAGTCCTCAAACTCATGTAATTTTCAATTTTCTCTCATTTATTTGAAAGCCCCAGTAGCAGGGTCACTATGACATGGCGAGAGGATGGAAAATCTTTATCAGAATTTATTGAGTAGGCTGTTAATAATATTTTTAATATAATGTCTACATGACTTCCCTGGCCTTTAAGAGTAGAGGTGTATCTTAACTCTGCCAAAATAGGAAAGAAGAAAGACTCTTACACATCCTTCACTAATCTTCCTCTTACTTACTCTTATCTGACTCTTTTTCTGGGGTAGACAGCTATGATGACTTTTTGTTTTTCTTTTTTCTCAACTGAGGCACGAGCAGGTTTTATTTAGTTTTCTTACTTTTCCTGTCACATGATCTATTCTCCCCATGGATGTAGGACCTATTCCTCACACCTTTCACCTTTCCAGGACCCATTTACAGTTCTTTCTACCTACAACCACCCTTATCTCAGTGTAGCTCTTTCTTTGTGTAGCCAGTAGCTTCATTCAATAATTAAGAGCTCATTCAGGCCTGTGCAAAGAGGCTAGGGAGGGGTGGAGGTATTTGGGCCTCTTGGGAACATACAAAGGTGGCTGAGGTCCTGAGAGAGAGATTCTCTACAGCTACAGTGGACATATTTTATAGACCAAATATTAACACACAGTTCTGACATGTGAGGGTGGATTTAGAGGGACGGAGCAATAGTGTGGCTGAAACTGAGACTGTCTCTCTACACAAGTAGATAATAATTGTATAGTGCTTTGCATTTTATATGCATTTACACACGCAGTATTCATTAGTCCCTATCATAAGCCTAGAAACTGGGTGCCATTAATTCCCCTTCACAGAGGAAGAAACAGGCTGAGAGAGGTTAAGTAATTTGTTCCAAATGTCCTAAATATTGAGGAATTTGAAGTTGCTTTAGGCTTCTGACCCTGCCTTATGTTCCTTTCACTTCAACAACTTGAATGTAGTTGAATTTCACTACTGTTTGATTGGGATGTGAGATTCTCCAATCACACTGTCAGAACCAAAGCAGGTGTTGCATGCTGTAACAAAAATGTTTTCCTTGGCAGGATGAGACATTGCTCTTCTCAGATGACCCTCAAGCAGCCTTTCCTAATTCCGGTTCACTTCATCCCCAAATAAAACACATAAAAGAATATGCTGTATTCTAACCTCTAGAGTGCAGCCCAATGTGAAGATAATAATAACAGTGAAATTAATAATGATGATGGTTACTCTTTGTTGGATATCTGACAGATGGCAGGTACAATGCAAGTGTTTTTCAAACATTATATTATCCAATCCTCAGAGCAAGTTGATCGCCCTCATTTTAGAGGTCAGAAAACTGAGGATACAGAAAGATAAGTTATTTACCTGGGGCTTCCCACCCAGTAAATTTCAGAGTAAGAATTCAAATGTAGGTCAGTCTGGCTCCTGAGCCCATGCTATCTAGTTTTCCATGTACACTTTTGCTTGCTTTTGAACAGGAGTAAGCTCAAGAAAGAATATAAATACCTACATTATATTTAACGATTTGTTCATAAATATTAACTCATAAACATATGAGGTTGAACCATATGAAATTGCTAATATTTGGACATTGTGGACCAAGAAAAATGGTCATTTCATGTGGCTTAACACAAAAGTTCTTAAAATGTGGCCTCTGGACCAGCATCATCAGTACCACCAGGGAAGTTGTTAGATATACAGATTCTCAGATTCCATCCCAGATTTCATAAAAAAGAAACTAGGGGTGGGCTCAGCAATCTGTGCCCGAACAGGACCTTTAGGTGAATCTCATACCCACCAAAGCTTGAGAACCCCTAATTATCCTAATGTATTTGTTAAACAGCAACTCTGTGTCAGGTGCTGTGTGAGCCACTGGGTTTTCAGGAAGAGCAGAAATGGACATGCTTCTTACCCTCAGAGAGCTTACTCTTTACTGGCAAAGTTCCACGATGTGCAAATATGAAGGTTTTTTTAGAGGTATTTATATTGTATTAGAGTTTCTAGGTCTCTACCAAAAGAATGAAATGTTTAGAGGCACAATTAGAGGGGAAAAAGGGTTAACATTTCATCACAGAGATGGATACCAACCAAGGGAGACAAACTGATCCAGGGACTGGCGTGCAGGAAAAGACATGGGGCCAGTGCTCTGGACTCAGTGCTCAGGACACAGCACTGTCAAACCCTATATCTTGGACTCCTTTTCTTCCCCTTCTGTCATCTTATCTCCAAGGATGGCTCTGTTCACTTTGAGGCCATGTTTGGATGGGAAGAGTACACTAAGTCCACTTCTCAGCATGGGACAACTCGGGATGTCTAAGGTAGGGCTTGGTCTGCCTCCACTAGCTGGCCAAGTAGATACTGATCTGCTGCTACCTTCTGCTCTGAGGAGCTCCATTTTGTGGGCAGGTGGCAAGGTCTCAGGAAAGGCTTTATTCCAGAACTTTGCCTTTCTCTCTCCTGTAAGCTACGCAGCATGACATGGAGGATGGCACTGCCTTTAGCATCGTAGAAGTTGGCTTAGGGTTTACTCGCACGGAAGAAAGAGGAGGAAGCAGGGGTCATTGGGAGGTCAGTGGGAATGAAGGCAATGTGGGACCTTCCAGTTGTCTGCGTCTCCCCAAGCCTGAGAAATGGTGCTCCTTAATATATGTTCATTAATCCTTTGTCATTCCAAAGGGAGAAAGGGAGACATTCCTAATAATCTTCCATTTACTAAGACAGTTTTCAGTCCTGAAGGGTTAAAGAACATTACTTTATTGAGTAATGTCTTAAAGTCAGATCATCTTGGGTTCATATTTTCTTAATTTTTTAAAAGGAAAGCTGTTTTTTTTCTCCAAAATAACACCTAAGTACAAATAAGGCAGGTTGAATAAATCCCTGCTTTTTTGGAAGCATCACAAGGTTATTTGTTCCACCAAGTTTCCAAAGAAAAGGGAATAAACATCTGTTGTATGATCTCTTAGAGAAACAACAATAGGATTTTTAAGCAATCTCAAGTACGTGAGCATCAAATCTCACTTGAATTTCATCCCTTCCATTGGTAACATGTTAGAAAATAATTTGATGGAAAATTTCATGGTGAGATTGGAATTTGAAGGTATTTAGGGAGAAGAAGAATGCTTTGTGACAATTTACCTTTTAAGTTACCAATGACACTTTTGTATGACATTAAAAGTGTTGCTCCTATTATTAATACTTCATTTGAATTAAATTCCCAACTCTTATTCTGGCCTTGTTATAGG
Organism: Homo sapiens; assembly: GCF_000001405.40. Lineage (NCBI taxonomy): Eukaryota > Metazoa > Chordata > Mammalia > Primates > Hominidae > Homo > Homo sapiens. The sequence goes on from NC_000006.12 coordinate 101,422,080, forward strand.
AGAAATAATTCACATACACAAATAGCAGCAGTTGTGTACTTAAAGGCAAGCCAAATGCATATCATGCATCAGAAATGGAAGTACCACCTCTGAGAATTCAGGAGTGTTCACATAATCGGCACAGGTTTTTACCCAATTGATTAAATTACATTCCTCTGCTTTAACTGAGGGGGAGTAATTCTAAAGGTTATGAAATCAATGCAAGCTGCTCTTGGATTGTATTATTTACTTGAATTTAGGATCCAGATTCTTCTCATCACCTGAAAGACAAATCATATTTTTCTCCTGGAGTCCTTCAGAAATTCCCAGAGTAGGCTCAAGTATTACATGAATAATTCATTTTACTCACTACACATTACAGCACTTAACAAAGGCTGCGGCCAGAGTCTCCTCCTTGGGGAAGCTAATTTGGAGCATCATTATGGTTCTGATTCCCAATGTTTAACAGCTTTGTGACCTACCTGATGAAGTCCTTTTTGTTCAGATCTGTTAAAGAAAAACTTCAAGTTTAAAATTTCATTGAGAATATTATTAGAAGGAAATACTCCCAGGCTTTCACATTTACTCCACCCCTGCCTTTGAGTAAAAAGATTAAAAAAAAAAAGAAGAAGAAACAAAGAGACACTTTTGAATATAAATTCAATCTACTGCCCCCAAATATTTTCTTAACATTGAAAAATCAAATGACATGATTTAAGTATCATACATATATTTCCCCTTGATTTATTCAACATTGGAACTCAACCAGAAAAAATAATTATGTGAATACATATGTGGACATCACTTAGAACTCTGTGTGGAGTTCTGTATATTTTCCTTGGTTTACAGTGCATTTTTTCTTATGGCTCTTATGGGAATTCATCTGAACTTTCATGTTGTCATAACACTTCAGTGTTCTCTCAGTTATAATTCATTACCACATGGGATGCAGATGGGCTGTGCACTTTAGCACATGCTGAAATATAAAAGTCTGAAGGCACTGCTGACTATTCAGCTGACTCTAACAATGACCAATATAGAGACACCGGTCTTTGTATGTTACTCTCTTTCTCTATCCATCCACCCCCATTCAGACAAACCCTTGGATAAATTGAACACTCTTAGATACCAAAGGTTAGAAATAGTGAGTTCTTCAGTGACTCTAATGAGCTCACAGCTGAGTATATTTTCCAGACTAACTTAGTTTTGAATATCAAGAGAGACCCCCATTTTATTCATGTGAGTAGGGAAGAGAAACTTGTTCTTAGGTATACTTTAAAAAGCTCTATTTTTAAAATTTGGATAGACTTCCCTCGTGTTTTCCATAGCAACAGCACCATTTTACAGTCCTGACAACAGTATACGAGTGTTCCAATTTTCCACATTCTCGACAGCACTTGTTTTTTTATGTATTTATTTTTGAAAGTAGACTAACAGATATGAAGTGATATCATTCATTGTAGTCTGATTTGCAATTTCCTGATGAGTTGTTTTGTTGAGCATCTTTTCATTTACCAGTTGGCCATTTGTATATCTTCTTTGGTGAAATGTCTATTCATGTCTTTGCCAACTTTAAAATCAGGTTATTTGTTTTTGTTATTTTTGCTATTGAGTTGTAGGAACTTCTTATACAGTTTTGATATTAATCCCTTATAGAACTACCTTATAATCAGTCAATCCAACTTCCAAGCATTTATTCAAAACTTTTGATACTAATCCCATATTGAACTACCTTATGATCAGTCAACCCAACTTCTGGGCATTTATTCAGAAGCATTGAAATCAGAATCATGAAGAGATAGCTGCACTCTCATGTTCATTGCAGCATTATTCACAATAGCCAAGATATGGAAACAACCTAAATGTTCATGGATAGATGAAAAAAGAAATTATATGGAATGTAAGGTAGCTGTGGGAGTGGTAAATGTCTACAGCCAGAGTAAAGATTATAATGATTACTCATGAGGATTTGATTTCTCCTATGGAAAATATATGTATTTGGGGGTTGTTACTATTTTCTGTAAAGAAACAGGAGATTCAACTTGCAATAAAATTCATAACAAGTGCTATGAATCTTGCTCTATCCAAATTTTTTTTCTTCAGAATTTTTTTTATTTTTTTTTATTATACTTTAAGTTTTAGGGTACATGTACACAACATGCAGGTTTGTTACATATGTATACATGTGCCATGTTGGTGTGCTGCACCCAGTAACTCTTCATTTAACATTAGGTATATCTCCTAATGCTATCCCTCCCCCATCCCCCCACCCCACAACAGGCCCTGATGTGTGATGTTCCCATTCCTCTGTCCATGTGTTCTCATTGTTCAATTCCCACCTATGAGTGAGAACATGTGGTGTTTGGTTTTTTGTCCTTGCGATAGTTTGCTAAGAATGATGGTTTCCAGCTTCATCCATGTCCCTACAAAGGACATGAACCCATCATTTTTTATGGCTGCATAGTATTCCATGGTGTATGTGTGCCACATTTTCTTTTTTTTTCATTTTTTAAAAATTATTATTATTCTTTAAGTTTTAGGTTACATGTGCACAATGTGCAGGTTTGTTACATATGTATACATGTGCCATGTTGGTGTGCTGCACCCATTAACTCGTCATTTAGCATTAGTTATATCTCCTAATGCTATCCCTCCCCTCTCCCCCCACCCACAACAGTCCCCGGAGTGTGATGTTCCCCTTCCTGTGTCCATGTGTTCTCATTGTTCAATTCCCACCTATGAGTGAGAACATGTGGTGTTTGGTTTTTTGTCCTTGCGATAGTTTGCTGAGAATGATGGTTTCCAGCTTCATCCATGTCCCTACAAAGGACACGAACTCTTCATTTTTTATGGCTGCATAGTATTCCATGGTGTATATGTGCTACATTTTCTTAATCCAGTCTATCATTGTTGGACATTTGGGTTGGTTCCAAGTCTTTGCTATTGTGAATAGTGCCACAATAAACATACATGTGCAGTGCCACATTTTCTTCATCCAGTCTATCATTGTTGGACATGTGGGTTGGTTCCAAGTCTTTGCTATTGTGAATAGTGCCGCAGTAAACATACATGTGCATGTGTCTTTATAGCAGCATGTTTTATAATCCTCTTGGTATATACCCAGTAATGGGATGGCTGGGTCAAATGGTATTTCTGGTTCTAGATCCCTGAGGAATCACCACACTGACTTCCACAATGGTTGAACTAGTTTATCCAAATTTTTATAGATAAGCATAAAAACTAGTAGAGACATTAGATTTAATAAATACTGTAGAACAATTAGTCATACTACTGTTGACTAGCACTCTGTTGTACCAGTTTAATTATATTTTAACAAGTATATTTTATTATATAATTTCTATAATTATATTGCATAAAACATGGAAAATTGAGAGAGTAAGACATCACTCACAAGAGCAACTTCACACAACTGCTGATAGTATTTCAGCGTATTCCATTTCGTGTTTTTCCAAAATGCATCTTTTTTCCCAAATTTTTACTGTAACTGTATACAATGTTATCCTACATTTTTCACTTTGTATTAAAGTTTTAAAGACAGCAAGGCATATTTATTTTTGAACAATTGAATTTTCTTGCAATCAACTCATGTATCACAGGCCAATTCAAATTTATGATAGACTGATTTTTACTGGCTTTGTTTGCTCTTTTCCTAGACCTTTAAAATCTAAATTTCTCTGAGAATTGTCAACTCTGCTCTCTGCATGCCCAGCATTCCCCTGGCTTCTACTAACACTCCTTTTGCGTTATTCCTGAGGAGAGTTCTGTCCTGTCTTCTGAGCATCAGTTTTCCTCTCCAGGATTTGAAGGGCATACTGATTGGCAAGTCTCACTAGCACTGAGGCCATCTATTATTCACAAGTTAGTTTTTCCTCGTGAATTTCCTTTTTGTTGTTGTTGATGGACTTTTCATTCTTTCAGACTTGAAAGCTTGGAGGCATCTTTGATTTCTCTTTTTCTTCTTTACCCACATCTATTGAGAGGTGGCCATATTGTGATCATTACATCTTTTCGCTAAGCATTCAAATTCCTAATTCCAGTCTTTATTAATAATCTTCCACTTTGTGTATTGAGACACAGTACAACACTGTGCTTAAGGTGATGGGCTCTGGAGCCAGACCTCTGGGAGTAAAACCTCAGCTTTGTTATGTATGCATTAGCTGTGTGACCTGTGGCAGGATTCTTAATGTCTCTCCTTGTCTCTGTTGTGTAAGATGAGTAATACTATAGTACTTAACCAACATGGTTATGGGGAAGATTACAGAGTGTCTTCTAGCTATTTTGAAACATACTATAAATTCTTAATTATAGTCACCCTGCCACGCTATTGAACACTAGAACTTATTTCTTCTATCTAACTGTATTTTTGTATCAATTAACCAACCTCTCTTTATCCCCCCTCCTCCCTACACTTCCCAGCCTTTGGTAGCCACCATTCTATTTGTTACTCCCAAAATATCACATGTACGCCATAAACATATACAACTATTATGTATCAATACAAAAATATTAGTAGTATCAGGAAAAATAAAAGTATCAAATATTAAAAAGTTTACAGAGGATCTACTGTCTACAGGCACTCAAATGGTGTAGCCCCTGTCATATTTGTGCCTGCCTCTCTCTTTCTAATCTATCCTATGCACTACTGCCAGATTGATTTTCCTAAAATATGGTTTTGCTCCTACTGATTCCTTCCCTTTTCTTCCCTTTCACCCTTCAGCTTCAATAATACTGCTTGCTAAATGAAATTCAAACTGCTTGGCCTGGCATTTAAAGTCCTACATAATCAGATTTTTAAGACCCCTTTCCAGCGGTCCTCTGTGCTCTAGACAATCCAAACAATATGCTATGTTTTCTTTAAAGGCCTAGTTTAAGGGTGATATATAATATGCTTAATATCCTGTAAAGCACAGACACATATCCCAATCTGGAGTCAGGTCTTAGGGAGCCAGCCATGCCTTAAAATGTTAGTTGTTTAATTGTGAGAGGCCCCATGAGAGGGGCCTGTGGAGCTTGGATGGCAGGAAGGCCTTGGGGAAGGTTGGGGCAGAAGCCAATTACCACATGGTATGGAAGTATCTCAATATATTAACAACTTCTACAGCTGAACCAAGGCATGACAACTAAATGTCAGCATTGGCCAGGTGCCTACTTCTTGACACCGCTCCTCCCACTCATTGAACTTTTTGTTGAAATTTCTTCCACATTCAATAAAACCTTTATAAAGTGCCATCCCCATTCTCATTGCTCTGCTTTTCTGAAATTCTGTGGTTCATCTAAATAATCCTGTTTTGGAAGTTACATATTTGTCTTCCCTTTTCATAGTTAACTTTATCCACGAATATATTTAGTTACATATGGTTACCTAAGTAGCTGGAAAATGTGCATGAAGGCAGGGACTATATACTTTTCATCTCTGCATCCATACCCTGGTGCTGTTATCGTAAAGTGCAGCCAGTCAATATTTGCTGAATGAACAACTAAGCTGGCACAATTCAGTACTTTATTATTTTTCTAGCAAAGAATGTACCTGTGCTCCCTGGTAATTTTGAATATGGATTACAAATTACCAGATTTGAATTATGGCAATACTTTGTATCGGTAAATTTTGTGTGCATGAAAATATAAAATTTTGGGTAGAATTAAATGATTCATTTAGGTGAATTGGTCATTCAGTCAGCCAGTGGGGTCATTCTGTGTTTAGTCAGTCTGTTAGTCAGTCACTTTGTCTGCCATTTATCCATTCATTTATTCATTCACTGAATAAATGCTAGCAATTCACAGCTAAAAGATGTTGGTGGTCTCTGTGATGTAAAATTTCTGGGATGCTTCGATGGATCACAGAGGCAATGGGTAATATTTTTGAGAATGTTAAATGCTTTGCTAATTTCTAACCTTCAGATGTATGTACTCGGAAAGTAGTTCTGGAGTCATCTTTTGCTTAACACATCCTGCTATTAGATTTTCTTTAATTAGCTCATTAGGAATTAATATCTGTGTTTGAATTACAAATCCACATTTTATCACCTATGAACAAAAATGTCAGCGATTTTGTTTCATGTGAACCAGACCAACACACAGTAATTATTTCTGAATATGAAACACGTTAAAAATAAAACAAAAATCTGGAGTTCCCTTGAGCTTGACAATTACCTTGTTGTCTACTCTGTTTGCTAGTTAGGCACTGAAAATTCTTTAATACAGCTTTGATTTGTTAACATGCAGTTTTTAAAAATGCTGCCTTCCTTATTGAAGTGAGGGAAATGCATTTCTACTGGTTACAGATATTTTTACAGAATTAAATGAGAGGAACAAAAATGAATGGATTTTGTCAGTCAGTTGCCAACACAGAAGATAAGGCCTAAGGCTTTGGTCATTTAACATTTGTGATATAATTTTAAAAATCTTAGTAGGATTAAAGAATATCACATTCTATTATTTCTAATTTGATTTTTAGAAGACCTATGGAAATGTTGATTTAAAAAACTATATTGAAATAAAAAATGGTTCTTGCAGTTACGTAAGGAAATTATTAACATTATTAAACAATATAGAATCCTTAACTTTGACAAAGAACCAAGTTTGAATGAAAATACATATATTAGTTTAAAAATATGTAATGAGAATCTATAAAATCATAGAGTTTAAAAGCAAAGGACATCTTAAGGCTTTGTTCAGTAGCCTTGTTTCCTCTCCTAAGGAACGTTAAGTGTTGAAGTAATTAGTGTTAGTCTGCAGGTGGGTGACAGGGGGTTAGACTTCTGCTCACATCCCTGTCTTCCTGCTCTTCCACTGCATCACACTGTCATTCTTTTAAATATGTTTTATCATTGTTCTTTCTCCTTTCAAATTCTTAGGTTTCTTATCAGACTTGCTGCATTAGAATTCTAAGACAAAGACTTTGAAAAATTCAATGACTTTTTAATTAACTACAACTTTAAAATGCTGACATTTGCACCTCAACCTGAGTCCAACTTACTAAACATTGTGTGTTTTGCAATCTAATTATATGTTCTCTTGGGAATAGCAAAGTCATAGTGACCTTGGTGTCCCCATAATACCTACTGAGAATGACACATATGAACTGAACCGGATCTTCAGTCAAAATACTTTACAAGCAGCTATTTACTTGTTATTCCTAATTCAGGAACCACAAGGTCCTCAATTTTGTAAATGGCACGTTCAGAGGGGAATCAAATTGCAGATGAATGAGAGAATTTACATAGGACTAGGAGACATGATACCCTTGTTGCTCGTAATGTTTCATTAACACTTAACTAGAGAGAGATGTAGTGCACACCCTAACTACATATGCACTGTCCTTCTTCCCTTATATTTTCAGCAGGGTAATTCACAGCTGTGAGTCAGAATGATAGCATAAGGGCTTCAGAGCTCTGATCACAGACCAAGAATTATCTTGGCAGAGAAATGAGGAGCAGTTAGTACCAAGAGCCTAAAAAGAAAGTGCTAAGTAGATAATTAACATCTTTTCTCTCAGTGGCAACCTGGAAAAGTTCTTGGTAAGGAGCCATAAAGAGGTCTCTGGCCTATAAGAAGGAAGAAAAATGTAACAGACTTCCTGAAAAAAATGGAGAGGGTTTTTTTCTTTTTTTCTGTTTTCTTTTTTTCCAATTATAGCAGCACTTTATTTTTCCTTACACAATGACGTGTTGCTGGGGCCTAATGTTCTCACATAACAGTAGAAAGCCAAAATTTGTTGTCATTTCTTAAAGAATTGAGAATAGTGTGCAAAAATATCTTACATAAATTAAAAGGATGAATAAATTTACAGGTATTAATGCAGACAACTTTCAACTCCTGGCAAGTAACAGCCCACGGTGTTCTGGCAGGAAAACACCAGGTAAGAAAGGAAACTGGGTCCTAACGCTTGGACTTCTCTAACCTTTGTAGACCAGCAAGACAGAAACAACTGGTTCAGGAGCTCTTGCCAGCCTTTAGAGAAATCCTGGAACACTGAGCTCTGACACATTAATACCTGCACAGATCGACAGACTGCTGGGCACACAGACTCACCAAACCACGGACTTTTCTTCCACAATCATGTTCTCACCTCAGCCACTGAGTGACCGAGTTACATGTACTAAGGGTTTAAATCCAAGATACATACAGGGTATTAAACAAATACCAAGGGAACAGTTAAGTTCAATACAAAGTCAAAATCAGCAGCAAGTTTTATAATCCAGTGCTGGTAATCAGATACAAGCTTCTGGGACAAATTTCTTTTCAAAGGCTTACTCTAGTTTCATGAGACTAGCATGAAGTGTTCTGAATTAACCCATGCAGCAAATGCTACACATCTGCTCACAGCCTATTCTGCTGGGTGATCCACATCTGCTGGAAGGTGGAAAGGGAGGCCAGCATGGAGCTTCTGATCCACACCGAGTATTTGAGCTCAGTGGGGGTGATGATCTTGATCTTCGTGGTGTTGGGTGTCCGGGCAGTGATCTCCTTCTATATCCTGTCAGTGATGCCCAGGTATGTGATTGTGCCTCCAGATAGCACTGTGTCAGCATATAGGTCCTTGTGAATGTGCACACCACACTTCATGACAGAGTTGAAGGTGGTCCCAAGGATGCCTCAAGATTCCATTCTCAGGAAAAAGGAAAAGCGCCTCTGGACACCAGAACCTCTCACTGCTGATGGTGATGACCTAGCCGTAAATCAGCAACTAGCTCCTTTCCAGGGAGGAAGAGGATGCCATGGTGGCCATCACCTGCTCAAAGTCTAGGGCAGCATAGCACAGCTTCTCCTTGATGTCGCGCACTATCTCCCACTAGGCAGTGGTGGTGAAGCTGTAGCCACACTATGTGAGGATCTTCATGAGGTCCAGGTGCAGGATGGCCTAGGGAAAGGCATAGCCCTCAAAGATGGCACTGTGTAAGTGACCCCATCTCCAGAGTCCATGACAATACTAGTAGTACTACCGGAGGTGTACAGGGACAGCATGGCCCTGGGTGCCACATACATGGCAGGGGGTATCCAAGGTCTCAAACATGATCTGAGTCAACTTCTCTCTGTTGGCCTTGGGGTTCAGAGGAGCCTCGGGCAGCAGCACTGGGTGCTCCTCAGGAACCACATGCAGCTCATTGCAGAGGGTATGATGCCAGATCTTCTCCATGTTGTACCAGTTGGAAATAATGCTGTGCTTGAAGGAGTACTTCAATGTCAGGATGCCATGCTTGCTCTGGGCCTCTTCACCCATGTGGGAGTCCTTCTGGCTCAGTTCCAGTAATATTTATTGGAACCTTATGCTATCTCTGATGCTGTCCTGTGTGCTTACTAGAAAGACAAGTCTTTACTCTGACAGAGTTTATATTCTGGTGCTGGGGGCGCCCAACAATGGAGGGGAACATGGCTTGGGGGCGTCATCCCCAGCAAAGCCGGCTTGGCACATGTGGCGCCATTGTCAAGGACAAGTGCTGTGAGGCTCTTCTTTCACTGTGATCCATGGAGAGTGGGTTGGCAGTGGCAAGTGAAAAAAAAGGAAGGTGTTACCTGATGTGTGTGTGTTTGGTGTATTTCTGTATGTATAGAAGAGAATGTGTGACCAAAACAAAGTTAACTTATGGTATTACATATTACTTGTTTTTAGCATCAGTTTGACCATTTGAAAAATGGAATATTGGTTATCACTTTGTTACTTGGCCTGCATGGATACTTTATAACTACTGATTTAATAGTATTATTAAAGGGGAGACATTTCCAACACTGAAGTGGTTCAAGGGGCATAAAGCTTCCTGCCCATGATAACATCACCCATTTAGTGTAGACCCACGTGCACTTTTTTTCAGGCATGGATAGCTGGCATGGGGAATCATCTAACACTCCATGAGATGTGTTCCCAACAAAACATTATGCCTCATTAGAAAGCGGACTCTGTATTGTTTTTTACTGTCCACATACAAGAAGCTAATAATACACTTTGAGCAATTTTTAAAGAAATTAATACTCTTGCGCATAATTAAGAACCCTGTGGCTATTTAATTGTTGCTCTTCTCATTAGACCCTGCCCTGCTCCCTGCAGATACCCCATGCTCTCATATTTGTTCCCTCTTGCCAGGACCTTCTCCTGGGGCTGCCTGCCTATAATTTAATCAAGTCCCTCGTCCATATTTTATATTTTATATATTTTTCTGCCACCCCTAGGAAGAGTTGCTTCCTGAATCATTCATTGAACTAATATTTACTGTAACCTTATGCTGTCTCTGACTCTGTCCTATGTGCTTACTAGAAAGATGAGTCTTTGCTCTTACGGAATTCTAGTGTCTTAATCCTTTGGAGTATTCTTAAGTTATTTTGGTAAACTAATTTATACTATAATATCAGTTGCAAACATTGGAGTAAATGATATTTACCCCCCAGATAATACCCAATGACAATCCACTAAGTAAACATTTATTGAACGCCTAACAGGTTGTAGGAATACAAAGATGAATGGGGTTCTGTCCCATATTCTCATAATCTACAGGAGGAGATTGATACCTACATATTGAAAGTGATATTTAAATACAAATGTGCACTTCTATTTTGTCTTTTTGGGAAGAAAAATTCATTTTAATCTATCTAGGCATTCATCTGCTTAGGGTGAGAGGAGGGTATGATGAATTTGTTATGAAAAAGATAATGATAATATTGTTTCTGTCACACAAGAATAGGATTAAAGAGCACAATAGTGACCATATAAGCTAGGCTATTTTCTTGAGAAGGGATCATCTAAATATTTTTTTCTTCTTCTTTGGCAAACCAACAAAGAACAAATAAGTGTGGAAGAGTGAACATTCTCCACTATTAAAACATTATACATATAAAACAGAGGAAGAAAGATCTACCCCCTTTCCAGACTCTGTAATTTCAAGGAGGAGGAGGAAGAGAAGGGAATGAAACTGACATAAGGTGGTCAGGCCAAAAGAGACTCAGAGGTCGAGTGTTTGAGACACAAACGCTGAGTTGAGATCTATTGGCCTCTCATGGCACCTCACCCTGAGGCTTTAGAACTGAAAAATCCCAAGAGAAAATCCCAGAAAATCCCAAGAGATTTTTTTTCTGTAAAATGAAGGTAATAATAACTACTCTTGTTGCCGTTGTGAGAATCATAGACACGAAAAAGTATGTAAAGTATCCAATAAAGTGCTCGGCATCTAGAAAACACTTGAGAAATGCAAGTTACCTCCATTTCTTTTCAATTTACCTTCTGGCAGGACTGAATCAACTAACTTCTTCAAGGCTGAAAAGCCCAGAATGCAGACTGGCCTGACTTGCTGCTTTTATACCTGCGTGACGTGCAGCAAATTGCTTAACCTTAATTTCTTCATCTATAAAAATGAGGATAATATTAGCAACTACTTCTTAGGATGGTTATGAGTATTAAAAGAGATAACAGATGTAATGGCCTCAGCTCAGTGCATTGCAAGTGGTAGGAGTGCAATAAATATTTATTATTGCTTATGTTTTTGTTCCTTTTATGTTGTCTGATCTGATGTGTCTAAAAATTATCTTTATTTTTTTTCTTCATTGAAAATCTCCTACCTCAGGTACTATTCTTTTTTTTTCTTACTTATTGTTTTAACTGTATTTTCTTTATGCTGAAGAGCAAGATATATTGCTTTGCATTTAACATTCCAAAACAGAGCAATGGCCCATAGAGATGAGAACATTTTTAGTCTGAATCTAGAAGTGAACGGTTTGATTAAAAGAGAAAACTCTACATTTATTTATCCCCTGTTTGCCTATATTTGCAGTCACCCAATTAATGATCACCAGTTGCTTATGTAAATTACTCTCAAGAGTAGCTTAAGGAACATTTTATGAGTCGTACAGGCCAGGAATAGATCTTAAAATAGCGACTAGAGAGTTGAAGTCCGCCTGTACTATGCTAGAATTAATAGTGCATGACCTGTCACTGCAACGAGGTGGCCCCAAATTTTACTGTAGCCCGCTGACACGGGTATAGATGTGACTTAAAGGTCACCCTTAAATATAGAAAAGCATGTGGCCATGGGGTGTTTTAGACACTAACGTGCAAATAACACAAAAGTGGGCTTCCTGCTTGCTACTTATTCCTGTGTGTGAGTTGGGACTAACAGCAGCAGAGTTCTAGAGGCCTTCAGCCCATGCTCCAATTGGAGGTGAGGAAGAGAGGATGCAATGGGATACATATCCTAGGACCATTTGTGAGGAAAGTCTCTGTAATCAACCCTAAAGAGTGACGTGGCCTGAGAGATGAGTTCTCATACAAGTCTCTCTCTTCTCAGGCAAACTCGAAATAGTGGAATTTCAGAGCTAGAAGGGATCTTCAATGGCAAAGTCTTGGTCCAAACTTTCACATACTT